>NC_000003.12:164766180-164917695 GCF_000001405.40 Homo sapiens
TATTATTGATTTCTAGTTTCATACTATTGCAATTGGAAAAGATAGTTGATATTATTTTAGTCTTCTTAAATGTTTTAAAACTTGTGTTGTGGTCCAAAAGATAAGCTGTCCTGGAGAATGTCTCATCTGCTCTCAAGAAGAATGTGTGTCCTGCTGCTGTTGGATAAAATGTTCTAAGTATATCTATTAGGTTCATTGGGCTTAGAATGTTATCTGTTCTGTTATTTTCCTATAGGTTTCCTGTCTGGATGATTTATCCATTGTTAAAATTGGAGTATTGAAGCCTGTGTTATTGAATTGCTGTATTATTGAATTGTAGTCCCTTCAATTCTGTTAATATTTGCTTTATATATTTAGAAGCTCTACTGTTGGGTGCATATATTTATAATTATTATATCCACTTGAAAAATTTGTTCCTTTGCCATTATATTATGACTTTTTTGTTTCTTTTTATAATTTTAACTAACAGTATATTTTGTCTAAGTAGAGGCACTCCAGCTTTTTTTTTTTTTTTTTTTGGTTACAGCATGAAATAGCTTTTTCAGTTCCTTCACTTTCACTCTGTGTGTTTCCTTAAAGTTAAAGGTTTTTTGTTTGTTTCCTTGCTTATTTGTTTTTTTTTGTTTGTTTTTGTAGGCAACATATAATAGAATCTTTTTTTAAATTCCTTCAACCACTCTATATCTTTTGGTTAGAAAATTTAAGGCATTTGCATTTAAAATAATGATTGATAAGTAAATATTTACTATTGCCATTTTAATTGTTCTGTGTTTTGTAGTTTGTGTTATTTATGGAAAACTGTTTTTATCTAATTTGGAGAAACTCATGTACTGAAAAACTATAAACAGATTATATAGGTAGGCTAAATAATACAGAAATTGGCTCTTGATTTTATTCAAAGAGATTGGGAAGCAAGATGTTACAGATATTCAGGAGGCTAGGTTGCTATAGATAGCATTTGACAAAAAGAAAAGGGCTCAAAAATAATTGAAATAAATAATAAAAATTAAAATGGCAAAATATTTAGGGATATTAAAAATTAGAGAAATACGGCAGGTTAAAAAGTAGAAGTGATATTTCTGTCCATCCAGGAAGAGACAAAACTGAGATGTTTCAGCAGGAAAGGTATATCTAATTCACTGCAAAGATGTCTGAGTCAAAAGTTGGTGCCCTGTAGATTTTCTCAATTACATAGTGAGGTTTAAGGAAAAAGAGACTGAAGATATAGCTCTTCCATTGAAGCCTAATAGACTCAAGTTACTTTCAATTAAGTCTAGAGAGAGAGAGAATTTTGTCTCAAAACTTTATGAGTGTGGCTAATGACACTTGGAGATGACACAATCTAATTCATTAGAATTTTACTATTTTCGAGAGGTATACTGTTAAAGAGCATGCATACTGGACTGACAGGGACTGTAAATGTTCAGGAATTAAAATAAATCTTTGGCCCCAACCATCAATGGATAGGAAGCAAGTTGAGAAAAGAGTGTCATTTTTATGAAATGCCTATGTTTTTATAGAATCCTCACAGGTGGCCAAGCAATATATTGGGAATAGAAAGGCCTGCTTGAAAGAACAGCTAAGAATAAAAAGCAATGGGCAAGGAACAATCTCATAGAGAGAAAAATGGAATATTACAAAAGAATATTTTCAACCCCCAGGCAAGGAGACCCTTACTGTTTCTGCCCAAGAGATTTTACAATTGCTATGAACCAGTGACAACTGTGTGTCTTCTTTTCTTTCTTTTTTCAAAAAGGAGTATTTAGGGTCATTTATCCTATCTCTCTCCAACTTTCGCTTTTAAATATATAAGTGTCAGAGTATGAGTGGAAATAAATTTTCTTTTTGTTTTCAGTCTTCCAGAACAAGAGGAGAACATATACATTCTCATACTTGATTTGAAAAATTACAAAGTCCTGGAGCTTGGTAGAGCCTTTGGATGAAATGTTTAGGTTGTCTTATTTGGTATCTGTTTCATGTGAGAGGGTGATGGAAGTAAAAATTTAAGAGAAGGAGAATATGTTGTGATTGATTATTTTATTGTTCAAAAGTATTTGCTTCCCAATTCCAAAGGAGGATTATACATTCCCACCCTTTAATAACAGGCTAGGACATAAAAAGAAAAAGTAAGTAGGTATGACCTGTATTACTTCAATGCATAAATGATAAAGTCATCATATAATTTGGCATATTGTCTTGTTTCCCAAGATTCACAATGTTTAAGAGACAGTTGCTGTTATAGCCTGAGTTCTGGTGTAAAGATGATGTGAGATGAGTGAACATAATTGAATAACATAAACCACTGTAGAATTTTGTATTGTTTGTTAAGACAACATAATTTAATCTCAGCTAACTCATACTCAGAACAGACAACTTACTTTCCCCACTTTCATGCCAAGCCTAAATCTAAAATCCTACACAATTCACTCTCATATAAAAAGACAAATACATAAAACAATACCCAAGGAGGAGAACCAAAAGAAAATAAGTGAAACTAGACTTTTGCCCAATCCATTCCTGTTAAGGCTACACTCCAGAAAATGTGGTCAAGTCTGTGAAGTGGTACTTGATTTGTCAATAAAAATATTTCTCTATTCTTTCAATAAAATGTGGATTCACTTAAGGGGGTGAGGAGCAGCAATGTCATAGAGGTCATTACTCATTATTAATAATCCAAAGTATAAATTTGCCACATAAATACAGTACAAGCAAACTTTAAATGTTTTCTAGATTTTTAATTGATGTTAGAATTAATTGTATTCATGCTTTATAATTTCAATGAAATTTTAATTGTGAAAGGCATTTTTTTCTTAGTTACTTGATTAAAGTCAATGCATATTCTCAATAAATCCTTAGCACTAACTAGTAACAAGGTTTCTTATTAAATGCTTATAAGTAATTATTACTAAGGCCCTATGGGTTTTCTTTTCTCCACTGATGTGCCCGTTTTATAGATTTCAGCTGCCTACACACATTACCATCATCACCAATGAAATCCATATTTTCATATGGAGACGTCTTAGTACTCTCTAATGTCTGAATAATTTTTTATCTTTATTGATTCCTTCTGATGGGCTGAACTGTCACAAACACTGGGTATACTTTCTGTAATCTAAAAAGAAATAATGGAATATATGTGTAGTATAATTCATAAATATTGATTTTTACTGTTATGCAGTCAATTCAAACAGTTCAAAAGAATATGCAACATGGTTCATAATTTCAGCTTTGACTTGAAATTTTAAGCTCTTATATAGTCTACAGGTGGTGAAAGCACCTCATGGGTATCCACCCTATTCAAATTAATGATAATAGGATATTTGTTTTAATAGGAACATTAATAGTTTACATTACAAAGGACTATAAAAATGTACATGGTAGAGCCTGCAAGTGGTGAGCATTAATCCTGTTTTCTCTTTGACTTCAGGACTCACAGCAAACATGTTTTTTCTGCCTTACTTAAAGTTAATGTGGTCATGTCCCTGGGTTCTGGCAAATTGAATCTGACTGGAATTGATGTTGCCAGTTCCAGAAAACCTGTTTTAAAATGTCCCATGTGATGGTCAGTCTCTTTCCTCATATGCTTATGGATTTTTATAACCTAGTGGTGGTGAGAGCAATGCAATCAGAAGAGTCCGAGTCATTCGTTCCAGTGAGTTATAGGTCTCCCTTCCAGAAATCATTTACCTCCATCTGCATTAAACTCAAGTGGGAATGGGAATTTAATTTCAATTATTAAGTCACCAATACTCATTAGAATTTTGTTATAGACTAATAGAATATTTTACAAAGTGTACTTTAAGTTTACATCTTTTACCGTAATTATTACTCAGACTAATTGAGCAAGGTAGAGGTCCAATTTGAAAATAATAAAATTGAAGCAAAAAGAAATTCAGTAAATTGCTAAGTGCCAGAAATGATAGATGATAAGTGGCAAAATTGAAACTTGATCATAAGAAATCTGTTTAGACATTTTCTTAAACATTATACCATCTCTTAACCAGCTTTGTTATGGTTGGCAGGGGCATTTCTATTTAAGACCTTTCTCTCCCATCTTCTTTCTTCTCATAGTCTCTCAGTAACTGTAACCATTCTGTTTCCTTTGCTGTGTGCCACATTATTTTCTGCTTAATTATAATCATTTTGCTCTGTCAGGCTCTTATGTTGTAAGAGGCTGGGGGAAGTCAGGAGGACTTAATTTTTTAAATTTTACTGTTAATTGATACATAGTAATTTCATATATTTGTGGGGTATACAGTGATAGTGATAGATGTATAGATTCTGGAATGATCAAGTTTGAGTCATTAGCATATTGATCACCTCAAATATTTATTATTTCTTTGTTATAAAAATACTTAAAATCCTCTTTTAGCTATTTTTAAATATACATTGTTAATTATAGTTACCTTGCTGTACAGTAGAACACCAGAATTTATGTTTTTTATCTAACTGTAACTTTGTGCCTGGTGGCCAATGTCTCCCCATTTCCCTTCCGCCCTCACATCTACCCTCTAGTAATCACCATTCTGCTCTTTATTTTATAATTGCGACATTTTTAGGTACCATATATAAGCGAGATAATACAGTGTTTGTCTCTCTGTGTCTGGCTTTTTTCAGTTAACGTAATGAACTAGCTTCATCCATATTGTCACAAGTGACAGAATTGCCTGCATTTTAAAGGGTGAATAGTATATCATTTTGCATATATATCACATTTTAAAAATATTTTCATCTGTATCTTGACTATTGTGAATAATGCTACAAAGAACATGAGCATGTGGACATCCTTTCAGCACATTATTATTTTTTTTCCTTTGGATACATACCCAGCTGTGTGATTGCTGGATCATATGGTAGTTCTGTTATTAGTTTTTTGAGAATGTTTTTACTATTTTACAAATGAGCTGTACTAATTTAAAACATCATCAACAATTTATGAGCATTTTACTTTCTCCTTGTCCTCACCAACATTTATCTTTCATCTTTTTGATAACAGCCAATCTAACAGATGTGAGGTGATAATATCTCATTATGTTTTTAATTTGCATTTCTCTAATTATTAAAGATGTTGACCATTTTTAATATATCTATTGGTTGTTTGTATGTCTTCTTTTGAGAAATGTCTATTCAATTTATTTGCTTATACTTTAATATGATTATTTGTTTTCTTTTTATTGAATAGTTTGAGTTTTTTGTATATTTTGGGTTTTAGCCCCTTATCTGAGGTAAGATTTGCTAGGATTTCATCACAATCTGTGGGTTGTCTCATCATTTCACTGTTTCTTTTGCTGTGCAGAAGCTTTTTAGTTTGATGGTATCTCATGTGCCTATTTTTTATTTTATTGCCTGTGCTTTGTGTGTCGTATTTATAAAATCTCTGCTAAGACCAGTGTACAAAGGCTTTCCCTTATGTTTTCTTCTAGCAGTTTTATAGTTTCAGGTCTTACATTTAAATCTCCGATCCAATTTGAGTTGAATCTTGTGTAAGGGTTGATATAAAGATACATTTTCATTCTTCTCTGTATGAATATCCAGTTTTCCCAACACAATTTATTAAAGAGATTGTCCTTTCTCCAATGTGTGTTCTTTACTCCTTTATTGAAAATCAATTGACTATAATTATATGGCTTCATTTCTGGGTTCTCTATCATTGGTAAGTGTGTATGTTTTTATGCCAGTACCATATTGTTTTTGTTACTATACTTTCTAATATATTTTGAAATTCAGTATTGCTGTATGTCCTGCCTTTTTTTGGGGTCAAGATTGTTAAGACTATTCAGGAACTTTTTTAGTTCTATACAAATTTTAGAATATTCTTTCCATTTATTTGAAGAATGACATTGGAACTTTGATAGGAGTTTTATTTAATTAGTAGATTGCTTGGGGCAGTATAATATTTTAACAACATTAATTCTTCCAAAAGCATGGTCTATATTTCCACTTATTTATGTGTATTTATGTCTTTAATTTCATTCACCAATATTTTTAAATTTTCAGTACACAGAAATTTTACTTTTGTTGTTAAATTCACTCTCATGTATTTTATTTTGCTTTTGTAAGTGGTATTGTTTTCTTAACTTCTTTTTCAGAGAGTTTGTTGTTAATGTATAAACATGCTACTAATTTCATAAGTTGAATTGGTATCCCACAACTTTACTAAATTTGTTTATTAGCGGCTACGGTTTGAATGTGTCCCCAAAATTCCGTATGTTAAAAACTTAAGCTCTAAATTTATGTGTTGATTGGAGGCTGGAAGGTAATCTCCCATGATAGTACTGATTGCTTTAAAAAGAAAGGAAGAGAGATCTGGCAGGCACACTCCAATCATGTCGTGTCCTTCTGCCATGTTATATCACAGTAAGAAAGCCCTCGCTAGATGTAGCCCCTCAGTCTTGGTCTCCCCATCTTCTATAACAGTAATAAATTTATTTTCTTTATAAATTACCCAGTCTGTAATATTTTGTTATAGCAACAGGAAACAAAGTGAAACATAAGTTTTATACAGTTTTTTGGTGGAGTCTTTAGGGTTTTTTTTTTTTTTTGTAGATAAGATCATGTATTCAAACAGAGACAATTTTAATTCATTCTTTCTGATTTGAATTTTTTTTTTTTATTTCTTTCTCTTGTATAGTTGTTCTGGCTAGGACTGCCTTTACTGGGTTTACCAAAAATAGTGAGAGTGAGAATTCTTACCTTGTTCCTGATCTTAGAGTAAAAGCCTTCAACTTTTCACCCTCAGGTATTACATTAGCTGTGAGCTTATGATATACGGCCTTTATTGATTGAGGAACAGTTCTTCTACCGCTAATTTGTTGAGAATTTTTATAATGAAAATTTTAAATTGTGTCAAATACTTTTTCTGCTTCTGTTGAGATCATATGGTTTTTGTTATTTATTCTGTTGATATGGTGAATCATATTTATTGATTTGCTTATGTTGAACTAACCTTGTATCACAGGTATAAATTCCACTTGAACATGATGAATGATTCTTTTAATGTACCATTGAAGATGGTTTGCTAGTATTTTGTTGGGGATTTTAAAATCTATTTTTATGAGTGGTACTAGCCTGTAGTTTTCTTTTCTTGTAACGCCTTTGGCTTTGGTGTCATGGAAATGCTGGCCTTAGAAAATGAACTTATTCCTTCCCTTTGCATTTTTGGGAGGGTTTGAGAAAGATTGTTCTCCTTTGACTGTGTGGTAGAATCTAGCCATGAAGCCAGCTGATCCTGAGTTTTTCCTTGATTGAAGGCTTTTATTTACTGATTTGATTTTCTTTTTCAATTGTTGATCTGTCCAGATTTCCTTTTTTTTTTTGATTCAGTATTGGTAGGTTATGTTTCTAGTAATTTATTTTATTTTCTAGATTGTTCAATTAGTTGGTACATAATTGTATATAGCAGTCTTCTTTTTTATTACTTGTAATTTCTCTATTACTTCTTTTATGAGACTTATCTCTCTTTTTTCTAAGTTTATCTAAGCATTTGTAAATAAAAAGCATAAAAAAATTCTTTGATGGAGTCAGCCTTCTCAAATTTAGCTAAGGAAACACAGCATTTTGAGACTCAAGTGGTTTATTTATAAAATGGTTGCTCTGGCTCAATTTTTCTCAACAGTAAAAGGTATTGATTAATTAAGGAAGAGCATAAAACTAGAACAGTTACTTCTTGGCTTACTATATTTTAGAGCAATGGATTGCATTCTCACAAGTAAACATATTTTTGGCTTGGTTCCTAAAGGAATACATTATCCAGGAAAATCAGAACTGTTTATAAATGATTTAAATTGTGAACTCATTAAGAAGACATCAAACTTAACTTTCTGTCCTGAGCAATATATATTATTGTTACTTATACTTTTTTCTTTTTATGTGTATTTTAAGTAATGACATTTAATGTATACACACATAAAATAGATGTATTATTCACGTAAAAGAAAAAGACCTCTTGTAGAAAGAAAATGTATTTTTTTTCTATTATACTAATCTCTAGAATGGGATCTCTATTCTTGTCAAGTGCTTTGGGCAAGAGTTCACCAGAAAACTCTGGGCAAGCTGATGTAAATCACACTTTTTAGTTGGGGCATATTTTCTCATATTGGTGACAGTGATTGGTTTCAACTAAGATGATCCAAATGAGATGGAATTTTGAATATTTAATTTACTAAGAATTCATAAGTAGCTGGAGAAAGACAGAACTTCTTTTAAATAGAAATTCAATGTTAAGGGATATAGCATTTTAGCACCCCACATGTTACCAAGAGAAAATAACTTATGACTTTGGAGAAAAATTTATTTGCAAAGAAATTTCCTCAATGGACATTTTAATTTTACAAAGTGAAAGCAAAAATATCTGTTTAGTGGCAATATGAGGCACAAAACACCCATCTGCTCTACAGAATAATAGACATTACTTTTTACATTTAGATAATAATGCCTATAAGCTAGTTATGTTTTCTTTTAGATGTTCTTAGACCTTTAAACAGTATAGCTTTTTCTTCTTGATGTGTATAAACTTATGCAAGTCTTTAACGATGGCAGAAGAATCCTAAGCGACAAACCCCATCTTTGATTGTAACTCTGAAAACTCAATATATATCCTTTAATTTTCTTGATTGTATTAATGCCATGATGGAGTGGGAGGGAAAGTCCATTTGGCTTTACAAAATAAAGGCACAAACATGGAAGCATTGATTTATATGGTAAATTGTAGTTCAAATTTTTTTACTAATTATATAATCATCATGCAAAGGTCTAATCCTTATAAATTGTTGTGATTTTGTATTAATTATATATGTAATTATAAAAAATATCGCTAATTTTCAAAATATCCTAACAATACATTCAGCCAATTGGGAACATTAAATTTCACAAGAGAGGTAGGATGTAGATATTTAATATCTCATTTCTGAAATTATATATTTTTAAGAATCTAACATACATCTTATATATAAGAAATCTGAAATGATGTACATAGGTATATAATTTAATGCTAACTTTAAAGATATTTCTAAAAAGCCACAATACAATAGAAAAAAAATTTACTGTTTTCTTTATGTTCTTTAAATAAAGTCAAGCTTTAATGCATATATTGTGATAAAGATACGATGAGAAAACATTTTCCTACATTTGTTGATATGCTTATTTAATATGTCTAGAGTATATTCTTTATCCTTAGGCAAAACATTCCTTGAGGGTAAATCTGTCACAATTTAAAAACCATTAGAATATTTTATATTAAAGAGCCTTAGGCAGATAAGTAATTAATGAGTATCGCTTACTGTTAGAACTAATGTTAATATGAGTGGAAATCATGGACAAAATGGGATTATAAATTGTCATATCCATTTTATGTATCGTGACTTCTAATTTTCAATACGAATTTATCATATGCCTAACATTCAAAGACATAATTCATTTAACTTATTTTCTGACTGCTAACTATGTAATAGGTATTATTCTAGACATTGATAACACTTTATTGAATAAAATTGATATATACCTTGCCCTTACAAAGTTTACATTCTATTAGCAAAAATTAAATAAGTATTTAATGCCATATTTGTTCATGATAAGCACTAGCGGAAAAAAACAGAACAGAGTAATAACATTGTACTATTTTGGTAAGGGTGATTACTGAAAACCCTTCCTAAAAAAATGAAATTGAACACAGACTACAATAAAGTGAGGAAAAGAACTACACAGATATCTGGGTAGAGATAATTTCTTGTAGAGGTAATATCAAGTGAAAAGGTCATAAAATGAGACAATGTTAGGCAAGTTTGATTTTTAGCAAGTTTGGATGACTCACAGTCATTAGGCTGTAACATATTGCCTTCCAAATCATCATACATCTGCTTATTGTTTTCTGAATTTTGGTTGACATAACATTGTTTCAGATAATATTTAGCGGTCATATAATACCGTTATATCTTTATTTTTACAGTGGAATATAAAACAAGTTAACCTTTTAAAAAATTCTAGACAAAAATATCACATTGGCATTTCTAAATGACATTTGTGTTTATATATATACACACACAGAGACATATTCAGCCATTAAAATAATTGAGTTCATTAAAATTAGTATATATGTATAAATATTCTACACACACAAACCACATGCACACACATATGTGTATATGTGTATATATGTGTGTGTTTATATATGTATACACACAAATTATCTCTGAAAAGAAAAATGTATATATATATATATATATATATATATATATACACACTCACATATCTCTGTGTGTGTATGTGTGGTCTGTGCTTGTATAATGTCTTCTGGTATTTCATATACTGTCAGATACTTTTTCTACAAATTGAACATTCTGGAAAACCATTCTTCTAGACAAGCTGATTATTATGTAAGCTTTGTTTTTCAGGTTGACTTCTTGTGCTTCTTCCAACCACATTAGATGGTCATAGCACAGGCAGACAGTAGATGGTGCTTTTTAAGGTGGTAGCAAATTTCAGTTTGACTTGCAGTCTAGAGTTGAAACTGGGTGAGCTAGTTATGAATGAGAAGTCATTGATTATTGTCTTAGGGCTTTGTTTTGTTCTGTTTTTATAAATCACAGCAATATATATTGAAACATTCAAGGAGAGTATGATTTAGGCATGCAGTCTACTAAAGATAGGAAATAGTTATCTTTTCTCCCTCAAATCTCCTACAATCATTGTGATATAAACAGGTGAGCTCCTAGGAGCAGAATTGACAAGGTTAGAAAGCAGATCTGGACTAAGATACAGGGAAGAAATCTAGCACATAATTGACAACCAAAAATGTGGCTTGCAGCTTTGACATAAATATCAAACTGGAAACAATCCTCCTACTACCCCCAAATTTGAAACATGACAGTTAGATGTTTTAAGCAGATTCTCTTTAAAAATTTATTTCTTTAAGGATATCTAACCGAGGGTAATTTGTAATAAAATTATAATTTCTCTAAAATACTGATTACCAAAAAGCCTCAGAGAATTTATATTCAGACCAATTAGATATTAATAAGCCAATTGTTTCTCTTCAGCATCCACGTTCTTCACTCTCAATGATCCAAAAAACATTCAAAAACCATATATTGAGTTACTAGTATATAGTGAGCATTTTACTAAAAATAAAAAGATGAATAAGACAAACGGACTATTTTCATACTTGTGAATGAGAGAGAAAAAAGCAAAACCAAAATAATATTATTTGAAAATATCTATGGAATAAGAAAAATCTGTTGCTTGAGATACCCCATCCAGTCAATCCTTGTTATTCATGGTAATTTTGTTTTACTGCAAACACTGAATTAGTTAATTCTGAACCATTGTTCCTAAGGGAGATATAGGGCTAGGTTCCTGTGAGCCTCTGGTCACAACATTATTAGCAATTCTTAAATAACATAAGCTTGCTTTTTGTGTTACTGTTTAAAAATACATTATTTAATAATACAGGCAACAGGAATATAATTTGTACCTGAATGAAGCTTATTTAACATACAAATTATCTCTGAAAAGTAAATCAATGACTTCTGGTATTTAGGGGGATTAGAAAGCACTTCAGCACTATGCTTGGGGCTGTTTTACACAGTGAAATCACCAACAAAACTCACAAAATCATGGCTTTAAATGGACCTTGTAAAGGAAACGTTTACAGTATAAGAACTGAAATAATAAGGCAGAGCATAGTCTTGTCTGACTTCAGCTGGGAATATGCATGTCAGGTATCTCAAATATTTTTCACTCTGCACAAATCTTCAAATGTCCATGACATTTTCACAAGTATTGACTTTGTGGTTACACATAAATTTTAGTGAGTAGGCAAATTCACAAATATGGAATTAATAAATAATGAGGATCAACCTTTTTTCTAATCGTCACTTCTGTTCCCTTTCACCTGATTCTGTGATCCTTACTTTTCTCCCAGGGCCTCTTAGAGTTCGCCAGTCTTTCTTGTATGCTTGTTCATAGCTCTCAGTGTAACACTTATTCTACTGCTGTGGAGTTGTGTGATTAATCTACTTTTATTCAAACTACACAGTGATCACCTCAAAAGCATAGATCATAAAAAAAAACCATTTCTGTAACCTCAGATCCTCAGTACCTGACACATACTAAGCATTAATTTAACATCTGTGCACAGAAAAAAGGGAAAGAAAGAGGAAGGGAAGGAGTTAGGATGGAAAGTGAGCAATTCATTTGTAATAAACCATTAACAAACAACTATCTCAATAAGTCTGTAATTTACTGCTATATTACATGTCCTCCAGAAATTCATTTTATTTAATTTTTCTATCCTTGAAGTAATAATAGTAATAATAGTTTTTACTTAGTTTGCTGGAATCTCTGGGCATAGTCAGGGGGAAATAAAATTATTTTGAGCTCATTAGAAAATGCGATCTAAATTTGAGGCCAGTGATATTATTAGTAAGTTACAATTACTTTTGCCAAAAGGCTTTAGAAGAATATATAAGTAAAATCCTCTGAATTTGTTAATTTTGCTTGAGGTGAAATAAAAAGTAATAAAAATGTTTCTTCTGTAACCAGGATGACTTCAAAATGAGGCTTTTGGATTAAGAAAGGAAAAACTAAAACAATGATAGTATACATTTACCTATAAACAATCCCCTATCATCACTGGCAGCATGTTTGACACTTTTCTGAGTGCAGAAGACAAGTTTTCTACTAGTTCTCCAGTTATTTTTAAGCTCTCAGTCTAAGCAATATGATCTTGGAGCAGATTTAATGTGCATATGCAGAGTACCAACTAATTCTCTTTTTCTTCTGAAATAAGGACAGTAGATTTGTTACTGTTGTTCAGCTATATCATATTAAGATCTCAAAAAGAAGAAATGAACCAAAAGTGGTGATACCTTGTGGATAAATGGGTAAAAGGAGAAGGCATAACTCCATTTATTTAGGATACAAATTCGATACTATCCATATATATTCTCTCTATTTTATGTTAGGGACTCATGTCATGGTTACAAAAAGGCACAGCCCAGCTTATCTTCTCTAATGAAATAGGTGGTTTTATTTGAGAATAAATATAAGAAAAAACACATGAAGAAACATTGTTATAGTATCTTCTATGCATTGTATGTTTATAGTTCAGGTGATTTACTTAAAATAGATGAGACATTTAAATATTTGAAATTAAATTTACAATAGGGGCAGTCTGTGCTTTCAAATAAATACTACAAGTATGAGTAAGAATAGAAAACAGTATTTCCTACATTCTTAGAAACACAAAGCAATTAACTGTTAAGTATTTCAAAACAAGTTTTTGAAATAAAGCAATCTCCCAGAAAATATAAACGAATAAAAGCTTAATTGTTACACCATTTTAGATATTTATATTTAATAGAATTATACTATATTTGACCCAATTTATTTAATACTGGTTACATAATTATAAAACTGATGATTATTTTATCCTGTTACATGTGTATATGTTTTTTCCCCAGGTGGGGATTTGTAGACTTAATACTAGTTTTGTTAAATATGTACAAATATCATGACTGTGAGTTAGTAGAAAGAACCATAGTTTGCAGTATTTCTACTCTGAATATTTAAATAGCAAACAAGTCTATCCTCATCTCAGAACTTGCCTTAAATTTCATCTGTTCCTATTATTTGTTGCTAGATTTTTAAAAAGCAAATAAAAAACACTCCAGAAGATAATGGCTTAAAACAATGACATTTATTTTGATTAAGTATCTGTAATTTAGCAGACTTTTGTGCGGAAAGCTCCTATCTGTTCCACTTGGCCGCAGAGGCTTGAAGGTTGAGCCCTGAAATCATTAGAGACTCACTTACGTGTCTGGTACTTGAAGCTGTTTACCTTCTGGGATTACTACCAGAAAACTGACATGCATTCTTTCTGTGTGGCAACACGCTTTCTTTAGAGCATAGTGATTGTGATCCTTGCATGAGCATAACCTAGGGTGAGATAACCATATGGAAGTTGTATTATCTTTTATAACCTATACTCAGACATCATAAAGTGCTGCTTCTGCTGCATTCCATTTATTAGAATCACTACTAAGTCCATATTCAAGTGGAGGGGTATTCAGTTTCATATTTCCAGAGCATGTTAGGGTGGAATATGTATGAATGTGACCATCTTTGGAAAATATAATTTGCCATTATCTCTCAGCTTGGTTAAATTTCCTGACTTATTCTAATGCTACTCCTCTATTTTTTCCACTTTATGTTTGATCATTCAGCATGTAGAAGGACAATTTATCTTGTTCCAGTTACTTTAGGTGAGAAGAAACTATTTCCTGAACAAGTGCCAATAAACTATTTGTTGTCCATCATATAGGTAATAAAGTTCCATCTTATAGTTGGCTATATTCAGTTGCAGAAAATTCTAATACTTCTTTCCTTCATCTTTAATGTCTGAATTATAGAATATTTATTACAAAAAGATAGGTATAAAATAATACATGTTGAGAAAATAAGGTCATAAAAATTAAATTTAACAATAATAAAATAATATTCCCAGGATTGTAAATACAGTAAATGAAGCAAAGATTAATTGTAAATCAATATTTAGTGTGAACTTTTTACAAAGTTTACCATAAGTGCATTTTCAGGCTGATGATGAAATTAATACTATTTTTTCGGGAATACTTTAAACTGGTAATTTTTTTGTTTTTTGTCACCTGTAGCTGTGGCAAAAGATAGCCTCCATATAAATGAATGAGAGAAGAAATCATAAAAGATTTATTTCTGCTGCTTCATTTTTCTTATTTATATCTAACATTCTGCACATTTACCATGAGCTTCCTCACATTTCAAAAACAGTTAGTCATCTTTGAGAACAAATAGTGCTATTTACTTCTGTCCTCAGAGAAAACGTATGGTTTAGTGGGTGAGATGTCCAGAACAATAAGGAAAACTTGTGTTCTGTATTCCCAACAGAAGAAATAGATCATCTGTAAATGACTCCCAGCACAATCATGGCAGGTCTCAGAACTGCACAGAGTTATATAAACTCTGAGAAAAAAAAATCAACAGACTGCTGTTATGCAGATACATAAAGCTCATCACAAAGTTACGAAAACAGAATACTCATAACAAAGTGTTTTAGTTATATTTTTATGTAATTTAGTGTACATACACATACACATATTGATTTTCAGCGGCAATGACAGAAAATTATTAGGTTAAATTAATATGACCAAATAAGAATAGGAGAAAAATAAATTTTAGTACAAATCAAAGTGAATTGATTATAAAGCTTAATGAATTATTATGGTATAGTATATGTGATTTCAGTCTTCAATGTGCTTCAAAGTTATTACAGATATATGAAAATTTTAAATCATAATCATAAAACTAAGAGATTGTATTATACAAAATTTTATACATTAAAATATGAATTATTTTCTATGTGATTTTCTCTTCTAAATCATATTCCAATATAAAATAATTACATGATAAATAACTTGAAGGAAAATATCTAACAAAATTTGTTGCTCTGAATTTATTTGTTCATGTGTCATATACTATTTACATTTTGCAAGAGGATTAATATGGTAAAACATATACCTCCATAAAAACTGAGTTTCTATTAATTTTTTTATAACATATTACTACCTTCTTACAAATGGTCTTGAAGTAAATTATGATTATATAACATAAAAAGAAAGAACTGTTAGATTCTAACATTTACTGAGTTCATACCACACCACATGCCAGGCTTATTTCACAGAAAATTAACATATTTTTAAAAGCTTGGCCAGGTGCAGTGGCTCATGCCTGACAGAAATATCATGTCAGCAAAAATTTCATCTTCATAATTAAACACTGATCTATAGCTGTGAACCCATGTGTATGTTTCAAATAAAGTGAACACTTGGGTGTAATATATCTGATAATATGGAGTGTGTTTCAGTTAAAGAATAATACTATCCCACAAAAGTACAGATTTCAGAAAGAATGGAGAGGATTTCCCAGGTAAAGCAGCACATAAAAATTTCCACTTTTAATTTCACTTTCTTGGTTAGTAAAAAATCAAGGCACAATGGCATAAAATTTGTGCTTTTATTTATTTTTAAAGCTGTTATTTCTTCTTGTGAAATAATTCTTATCGAAACTAATGTTTCAAGTGCAGTTGTAAAACTATGACTGTACAGATATACTCCTATACCTCATTTTATTTCTGACAGGTTTTTTTTGTGTGTGTGTGATGGAGCCATTAGTTTTAAAAGCCATGACTAGTTTCTTTCATGTCTATCTTCCTTCTGATTACTCAGTAATAGAAAATGTTGTTTTCCTATATATTTGAATTGTGAAGAGAGCAATTTTTTGGGGGCAAGAGTGATAGAGAGATTTCTGTACTGAATGGAGATAAACTTCAGTGCTACCAATGTCAGATTACATCAATTTATTTGGCATCAACATTTTAAAAGGAAAATGGATCTTGATTCATTTTGACACATATGTCTGGTCTGAGTATAATCTGCAAGGTGCTTCATGCTGCCTTTCAAATTTAATGGAACACTGTGCTTCTTCAGGAGTAGTAACATATGCTTCATAAGTTTTTCCAGATATGTGATATGGTTTTTTGTGAGATTATGACAAGAGACATTCAGTTTACTATAATAAGTGAGATTACTGCATGCTTGATTTTTGTTATTTGGTTGAGAAGTGGAGAAGGTGTTGGCTTTATATCACAAATACTTCAAGCTGCATATTAATTATAAGTTAGAAACCCTGATATAATTAGATAGTAACATTTTAATCTTACTAAAAGAAAATCATGTACTTGGAATAAAAAGATATTGTAGACCTCTGCCCAGGTGGTATTTTATGTACAAAAAATTAAAACAAGGATTCCTTATGACTTTAAGGCTGTAGAGTATCCATGGTTCTGCCTAATGGTAGTGTGATGAGCTTCTGTATGAAATGAAGCTCTCAAGTCTATAAAAGTAGACTAGAAAGAAAATGTCTTATACATAATTCAAAGTGCTGCATGTATAATTCAGTCTTAAATGATAATCATGTTGGGCCATCCGAAACTGCTGGTACTCAACTATTTTTTAACTTTTATTTTGAATACTTCCAAACTATAAAAAGTTTCAAGAGTGTACCAAGAACTCTTGTATTCCCTTTACTGAGATTCACAAATTTTTAATACCTTGCCACATTTGCTTTAACTTTCTTTCATTTTAAATATATACATTATAGATTTTGTTCTGAAGCACTTGAGAGTTTATTATATTTATCATCTTCTTTTACACCTTGATACTTTGATGTGCATTATCTAATGAGGATATTTCCTTTTATAAACACAGATTCAGACACTTGTATAATCAAATTTAGAAAACTTAATATAGATGCCATCCTTTAATCTATGTCAGTTCAAGAGCATGTATTGTGTTTAATTGTTGTGTCTCTTTCATCTCTTAATCTGGGATGGTTTTCTGCCTTTCCTTATCATTGATAATATTAATATTTTTATATTATATATTTTATATTATAACATTAATATTTTTAAAGAGAATAAATCAGTTATTTTATTAAAATATGTAAATTTCATATAGTTCCACCTAATAAAACCAGGGATGGATATTTTTCTACATAGCTCCATTTTCTAGAATTGTCTTTATCCAAACTTTGTCCAGTTAAGTTTTTAACAAATGCTTTCTTGCCTCTCCCTCTCCCTCTCCCTCTCCGTCATCTCCATCTCCCACTTTCCACGGTCTCCCCCTCTCCCTCTCCGTCGTCTCCATCTCCCACTTTCCATGGTCTCCCCCTCTCCCTCATCTCTGTCTCCCACTTTCCACGGTCTCCCTCTGTTGCCGAGGTTGGACTGTACTGCCGCGATCTCGGCTCACTGCAACCTCCCTGCCTGATTCTCCTGCCTCAGCCTGCCGAGTGCCTGGGATTGCAGGCATGCGCTGCCATGCCTGACTGATTTTTGTATTTTTTGGTGGAGACAGGTTTTCGCCGTGTTGGCCGGGCTGGTCTCCAGCTCCTGACCGCGAGTGATCTGCCCGCCTAGGCCTCCCAAGGTGCCGGGATTGTAGAGGGAGTCTTGCTCACTCAGTGCTCAATGTTGCCCAGGCTGGAGTGCAGTGGCATGATCTCCGCTCACTACAACCTCTACCTCCCAGCCGCCTGCCTTGGCCTCCCAAAGTGCTGAGATTGCAGCCTCTGCCCGGCCGCCACCCCATCTAGGAAGTGAGGAGCGTCTCTGCCTGGCTGCCTATCGTCTGGGATGTGAGGAGCCCCTCTGCCCGGCCGCCCAGTCTGGGAAGTGAGGAGCGCCTCTTCCCGGCCGCCACCCTGTCTAGGAAGAAGTGAGGAGAGTCTCTGCCTGGCTGCCCATCGTCTGGGATGTGGGGAGCGCCTCTGCCCGGCCGCCCCGTCTGGGATGTGAGGAGCACCTCTGCCTGGCCGTGACCCCGTCTGGGTACTGAGGAGCGCCTCTGCCTGGCCGCCCCGTCTGGGAGGTGGGGGGCACCCCCGCCCAGCAGCTGCCCCATCTGGGAGGTGGGGGGTGCCTCTGCCCAGCCACCCCGTGTGGGGGGTGGGGGGCCCCTCTGCCCGGCCACCACGTCTGGGAAGTGAGGAGCCCCTCTGCCCGGCCGCCACCCAGTCTGGGAGGTGTACCCAACAGCTCATTGAGAATGGGCCATGATGACGATGGCGGTTTTGTCGAATAGAAAAGGGGGAAATGTGGGGAAAAGAAAGAGAGATCAGATTGTTACTGTGTCTGTGTAGAAAGAAGTAGACATAGGAGACTCCATTTTGTTCTGTACTAAGAAAAATTCTTCTGCCTTGGGATGCTGTTAATCTATAACCTTACCCCCAATCCCGTGCTCTCTGAAACATGTGCTGTGTCAACTCAGGTTTAAATGGATTAAGGGCGGTGCAAGATGTGCTTTGTTAAACAGATGCTTGAAGGCAGCATGCTCCTTAAGAGTCATCATCACTCCCTAATCTCAAGTACCCAGGGACACAAACACTGCGGAAGGCCGCAGGGTCCTCTGCCTAGGAAAACCAGAGACCTTTGTTCACATGTTTATCTGCTGACCTTCTCTCCACTATTGTCCTATGACCCTGCCAAATCCCCCCTCTGAGAAACACCCAAGAATGATCAATAAATACTAAAAAAATTAAAAAAAGATAAACAATATTTAAAATAACTTATTTATTAACAACACAATCTTTTTACTCTCACCCAAATATTAATTATGATACTCTTAGTGAATGGCAATGTGATTAAATGTGCTTCATTATTTTTGAAAATCTTGATTAACACTTTGTGATGCAGCAAAAAAAAAAACAAAAAAACAAAAAAAAATGATTTCTTGATGACAATGTTAAAACTTAGATTAAAGTATTTCTTAGGAGAAATTACAACAAAATTCCATGATATATAACAGCTTTCAACATAACATTTCCTCTTTCACTTTTCATCACTTCTTTGACAATAGCAGAAATATGTCTTGGCAAGTACATAAACTGAGAAAAAAACTATCTTGAAGACAACCAGATTTTTTTTTTAATACAAGATCCCATTCTGTTGTACTGGCTGGAGTGTGGACTATAATGGCATGGTTGTACCTCACTGCAGTCTCAAACTCCAGGGCTCCTTAGTTTAATTAGGTCCCATTTGTCAATTTTGGCTCTTGTTGCCATTGCTTTTGGTGTTTTAGACATAAAGTCTTTGCCCATGCTTATGTCCTGAATGGTATTGCCTAGGTTTTCTTCTAGGGTTTTTATGGTTTTAGGTCTAACATTTAAGCCTTTAATCCATCTTGAATTAATTTTTGTATAAGGTGCAAGGAAGGGATCCAGTTTCAGCTTTCTACATATGGCTAGCCAGTTTTCCCAGCACCATTTATTAAATAGGGAATCCTTTCCCCATTGCTTGTTTTTGTCAGGTTTGTCAAAGATCAGATAGTTGTAGATATATGGCATTATTTCTGAGGGCTCTGTTCTGTTCCATTGGTCTATATCTCTGTTTCAGTACCAGTACCATGCTTTTTCGTTACTGTAGCCTTGTAGCATAGTTTGAAGTCAGGTAGCGTGACGCCTCCAGCTTTGTTCTTTTGGCTTAGGATTGACTTGGCAATGTGAGCTCTTTTTTGGTTCCTTATGAACTTTAAAGTAGTTTTTTCCAATTCTGTGAAGAAAGTCATTGGTAGCTTGATGGGGATGGCATTGAATCTATCAATTACCTTGGGCAGTATGGCCATTTTCATGATATTGCTTCTTCCTACCCATGAGCATGGAGTGTTCTTCCATTCGTTTGTGTCCTCTTTTATTTCCTTGAGCAGTGGTTTGTAGTTCTCCTTGAAGAGGTCCTTCACATCCCTTGTAAGTTGGATTCCTAGGTATTTTATTCTCTTTGAAGCAATTGTGAATGGGAGTTCACTCATGATGTGGCTCTCTGTTTGTCTGTTATTGGTGTATAAAAATGCTTGTGATTTTTGCACATCGATTTTGTATCCTGAGACTTTGCTGAAGTTGCTTAGCTTAAGGAGATTTTGGGCTGAGATGATGGGGTTTTCTAGATATACAATCATGTCATCTACAAACAGGGACAGTTTGACTTCCTCTTTTACTAATTGAATACCCTTTATTTCTTTCTCCTGCCTGATTGCCCTGGCCAGAACTTCCAACACAAGATGGCCGAATAAGAACAGCTCCAGTCTACAGCTCCCAGCGTGAGTGACGCAGAAGACGGGTGATTTCTACATTTCCAACTGAGGTACCGGGATCATCTCACTGGGGCTTGTCAGACAGTGGGTGCAGGACAGTGGGTGCAGTGCACCGAGCATAAGCTGAAGCAGGGCGAGGCATCACCTCACCCGGGAAGTGCAAGGGGTCAGGGAATTCCCTTTCCTAGCCAAGCAAGGCTGTGACAGAAGGCACCTGGAAAATAGGGTCACTCCCACCTTAATACTGCGCTTTTCCAATGGTCTTAGCAAACGGCACACCAGGAGATTATATCCCGCGCATGGCTCAGAGGGTCCCATGCCCACGGAGCCTCACTCATTGCTAGCACAGCAGTCTAAGATTGAACTGCAAGGTGAAAGTGAGGCTGGGGGAGGGGCGCCCGCCATTGCTGAGGCTTGAGTAGGTAAACAAAGTGACCAGGAACCTCGAACTGGGTGGAGCCCACCACAGCTCAAGGAGGCCTGCCTGCTCTGTAGACTCCTCCTCTGGGGGCAGGGCATAGCCAAACAAAAGACAGTGGAAACCTCTGCAGACTTAAATGTCCTTGTCTGACAGCTTTGAAGAGAGCAGTGGTTCTCCCAGCATGGAGTTTGAGATCTGAGAACAGACAGACTGCCTCCTCAAGTGGGTCCTTGATCCCTGAGTAGCCTAACTGGGAGGCATCTCCCAGTAGGGGCCGACTGACACCTCACACGGCTGGGTGCCCCTCTGAGACAAAGCTTCTAGAGGAACGATCAGGTAGTAACATTTTTCTGTTCAGCAATATTCGCTGTTCTGCAGCCTCCGCTGCTGATACCCAGGCAAACAGGGTCTGGAGTGGACCTCCAGCAAACTCCAACAGACCTGTAGCTAAGGGTCCTGACTGTTAGAAGGAAAACTAACAAACAGAAAGGACATCCACACCAAGACCCTATCTGTACGTCACCATCATCAAAGACCAAAGGTAGATAAAACCACAAAGATGGAGAAAAAACAGAGCAGAAAAGCTGAAAATTCTAAAAATCAGAGCACCTCTCCCCCTCCACAGGAACGCAGCTCCTTGCCAGCAATGGAACAAAACTGGACAGAGAATGACTTTGACGAGTTGAGAGAAGAAGGCTTAAGATGATCAAACTTCTCCGAATTGAGGGAATTATTTCTAGAGGATCTATGAATATCAGGATACCAGTGCACACTGTGATTTAGAACATATCACCATCATCATTGTCATCATCTCTTCTTAATCTTTAATAGTATAGCATTGTTTTATAATATGTAAGTATTACATTTTGGAAATCAAACTTTCTAAGAAATAAGACCCACAAATGATAGAAATAAAAAAGGCAATCATTGATTTCAAGTTGTTATTATAAGCTTTTAATCAACCTCAAAGAGAAATTTAGATATATGTAAATATATACACCTAAATGCCTGAATGATTTATTGAATACCAACTAAAAACTATAAAACTACATATCAGTATTATAATACCTATGGAAATTATCAAATTAAGATGCTGATTAATTACATTGAATTATAACAAAAAAAGTGTAAGTGTGACTAGAAAATTTTCCTTTTTTTTAACACTTAAAATGAGTTTTATTTAAAAAAAAAGTGGAAGTAACACTCAAGAATTGTCTAGGTTCATAGGTTAAGCATTGTTTAATCAGTTCTAATATCATTTTGAGCAGGAAAGAAAGGCCTAGGCCTATAGTAAGCAAAACTTCAATGGCTAACTCTCTATTTCTATATATTTTCTCTAGTAAAAAATCTACCCCATTTCCTAATTGCTTTTTTGAATATTTCCAATGCTATTTTTGAAGTCTGAAATACAATTTAAGACTTCTCTTAAAATAGAGAATGTATTATGTACTTAAAAATGTACACGTACAATGTATTGAAAAATACATCGTAATTTTTACAATGGCAATGTCGTTAGAGTTTAAATTACTTGTTAGGCTGTAAATCTAGAGAGCTCTGTTTTAAAAATTGATTACATAATTTTTAGAAACACAGGTTTCAGAATTAATAACACTGATTTTTATAGCTATGTTTTTAAATAATTATAATTTAATAAAGGATTATTGCTCCACCATATGTATTTATCATCATTTCCATTATTGTCAAAATCATTTTATAATTTTACCTTTTAAGAAATAAAGTATTATATATTAGATGGTCTTTTTAAGTCACAAATAAAAATTAAAACTTACTATTTAGAGGAGTGGTGAATTTAATCACTCTAGAAAATTTAATTTAAGAAAACACTGAACCACCAATTATAGTGAAATGTTTGCCAATATTGTCTTCAGCTTAACCTTGACTTATTCCACATATTTTATGCCTCCAATGTTGAAGTGACTATTATCTTTTTGGTTTCCTGTTGACAATAGGGTTGGGGTTAGCCGGCCCCTGCCCCCCACAACTTGAAGTTGATGGCTAAAATCAGCTTTATGGTTTGGACCTATGCTCCTCTTCTCTCACATTGTTTTCATAACTGGACTTTGTCCTATGCAGAGTGTTTTGTGATATTTAGTAAGCCTGACACCCTCCTCTAAATATCCAAACTCCCCTTGATTGTAGAGGATCATAGGGATATCTTCAACATATGGATAGATTTAAGATCAAAATTTGTTCATTCTACTAATTTACTATACTAAACTCTTATAACCAGGTTGCCATCTTTAACTTTGCTGCGTATCTGCTAAAAGTAGTTGGGTGGTATTTAAACAGTATAGAGATATTGGGCCTCACTAGATAGGGTTGCTTATCACAGAATATTAATGCCTCAAGTTGAAAGATACTAGTTTCTGAAGAAATCACCTAAATTTGCTTCCTCCTTGCTCTCAATAAAGTGTCCTATAATTTAATATAGAATATTTATTTTTGTGGTGTTGAGAAGAGGACTAATTTGGAAGCGATATAAGTGATATAATTGGTGAGGATTTGGACGATTTAAAATTTATTATTATTTTGTGCAGAAGTTTTAGAAACCATAGTAACTATATACATAATGATAGAATATATCAGGAAGTAAAAAACATTTCCAAACTTCAGCAGACCATACTGCTTTTTATTGTCAGACTATTACCTACATAATCATTGTGTAGGCATAAGGATAATAAATCCTGTAAGATAACTATATTTTATAGAAATGAACTGTCAACTCAGCTTCCTGTTGGCTAAATAACTTACAGTGTATTGAACCTCAGGTAATAATTACAATCTCTAAAAAACATGTTTTAAGTGAACCAGTAAGTACAAAAATGAATGAAATGTATATTTTAGGTCAAAAAGTTACAATATCTGTAACTAAGAAAAAAATACACTGGATGTTCTAAATAGCAAGATGAAAATGACAGAGGAAAGAGTCTATAAATGTCAATAGATGCTTATGCAAATTATCCAAAAAAGTACAGTGAACAAAAAGACTGAAAGAAAAATTTAGAATAATTAAATTCAAACATGCTGTTCAAGAAATGAAAAGGTTCAAGTGAACTTTTCCTAATTAATACTAAATTTTAAAATATCTGTGTGCTATTTCATAAAATGTATTTAAGCAATATTTATTTCCTGTGACTCATTTTTAAAATCATTATTTAGCAAAATCAAAGCTACTTTATCAACCCCTGTATAATTTAATATCATAAATAATTTGTATGAAAACAAATATTTTTCAAATATACCAGCTAGCTGCACTGTTTTTTACGTGATATTGAAATTAAAATAATGGTGGATGAGGCCCAAGAAAACACATGGCAAGTATTTTCAAGTGCCTAGTACCTGTTTTCCAGATATAGGAAAGTGTAATGAATAAAGTTTAATGAGAAATTGACATTTAATTAAATACTTATTTGCTGTTGCAATGCTCTTTATTTTGTTTCCTTGTTTTGAATTTTTTATTTTGATTGACACAATATATCATTATCTAACACAATATTATGATCTAATATACAGTCTACATATAAGTTAGGAGTTTTTTTTTTTTTTTTTTTAGAAGGAAATTTTTTAGGGGAAGCTTTGATAGTCTCTGAATCTCCTTTCCCTCCTTCTCTATGGAGAAATGATAGAATGTGCTTTTACTTTCAGGTCAAGCCTGGAAAAGATTCACCAATGTAACACCTAGAACATTTGATTTATATTTTGGAGCTACTGATTTTTGTTTGGGGAATCAGAAGGATTGGGAACTGTTGATGGCCAGTGTTGTAATGATAAAGCTGTTCTTGAATTGATGACTGCCTACACTTCCAATTTTTGGGGGGATTAAGGGGCACATAAAAAAAGGACATACATGTTTCCTGTGGATCACATGTAGACTACTCAAGACACCAGTGGCAAGAGGTTGTTTTGGATTTTGACCAGTATTTTGAACTACAGTTCAAGGAGCTCCAAAAGAAGCTCATTTCCAGAGGAAACAATTGTTAAGTGATTGGGTGGGTGTTAAAAAAACAAACAAACAAACAAACTGAAGGTGAGACATGACCCACGATGGAGTGTCTTCAAAGAACATGTAGTAGGAGACATCGGAGAGAAGGTTTAACTTTGAACATTAGCCAAACCCCCAAAGCACGTAAATCATCTCATGATAGCATTACACAATAAGTACATTTCACTGCTTCATTTCACTGTTTGCCTGCTCCAAATTAAAGCAAATAAATAGCCTATTGAGTGGAGAATGTGAGTAAGCACTACAAATTTTATTAGTTACACTTTCAAAAATGTAGTTTTGGATACGAATTCTGAGCATGTGGTAAAGAAATGTCATAAATACTCTGGCCATGTTGTCTCTCAGTATTTTTAAACCCTGTGAAACCAATAGCTCATTGGCTACCTCTCTGTTTGAGACTGATGAAGCAAATTACCAATTCTGATGCAGCTGTCTTCTAGTTATGTAACTCTCAGACTTTCGGATTGTCTGTGTGCCACTGTTAGATCTTCTGCTTTGCATGATTTTAATTTGTGCTGTAGATTACTGCAAATCTCATTAACCCTCACTACTTTTCTGCTTAGTTCATGCTCCCATTTTATAAGCACTTTCAAATCTCATTCCAATATATTAGTGTTGCTGCACTAACATAGTATCTCCTTACAAAAATTCTGTGCTTTAGAAAGTCAGTTTTCTTGACTTTATAACCTTTCTCTTTACACTACACTAATTTAGCATTCAGTCATATAAGAAATTTTCAGAGTCTGTGTCTTTTCATTAGGAAAGTTGGATGTATTTTTCTTCAATAGCCAACTTTGATGACCTTGGTCTTATCTTATTAAATTGCTACATCGAACTGTTACCTGTACCCTTCAAATCACAGGACGTGAAGTACCACTCTATTAAGCACTCTTTATGATACACTAAAGGTTGAACAAAGATAGTGTGTCATGTTTCCAACATAATGTTCAGTATTCAAGTCTTTATATTTCTCAAAGCACAGTGTGAGTCACCTGAGAAAACTCAATAAATGTAAGTTAAATATATTGATATTGAGACTAATTATGATCAAAATTTATTAACGGGTAACTGAATATAGTCATGCATCACTTAAAGATGGGTACTTATTCTGTGAAATGTGTCATTTAGTGATTTTATCATTGTGCAAACATTAAAAAGTGTACTTACACAAACCTAGACAGTACAGCTCACTAAACACCTGGGCTATATAGTATAGCCTGTTTCTTCTAGGTTACAAACCTATACTTCATGTTACTAAACTAAATATTGTAGGCAAATGCAAGACAAAGGTAACTATTTGTGTATCTAAACATTAAAATGGTACAGTTAAAATACAGTATTATGATCCAATGGGACTATCATCACACACGCAGCCCTGGCATTGGTTGAAACATCATCATATGGTTCAACTGTAAGTAGGATACAAGTGAGAGTCAAGGACTAAAAACAACATGGACACTGAATGTGTTGAACCAAAATCAGCCATGCTAAATGTACAACTCAGTCAATTTTATATTGATTTCTAATGATGATCCATTAAATTTTCTAGAACTTATTTAATTTTCCACTTCCCATGTCAACCATTTGCTCTACACAGATGACAATCCTCTTATTACATTGAAATGGTCAGAGAACATGTCAATTATCTGTTACTTCCTATCCACCTCCAAATTTTATTGAATTTTTATTCTTACAGTAAGGATTTTTTCCTCTTTTTCAAGTACTGCGTTTTATTTCTTTTGACTTTATTGATAATTGTCTCTTTTTGTATCTTGTCCTATTTATCTATCAAACCATTTTTGAACTTCAAGTGTTTATAAAGTTTAACTATAATAAATGAATCATTGAGAATTATTGGCTGAATGTACTCATTATCCAGGTACTTCTAAACCTTGCTTCTTGGTGTCTATCTCTACCACTTTGTAAAATGTTTCTCTTAAAGGTGTTCATTGTTTCCTCTTCTCAGTTTACATCCCTTTGACTACCAGGAACCATTAACATTACTGATCAATTTCTTATAGTTTAATTTAGTTCAACAAATAACAATCTATCAATTATGTTTCTGAAGCTAACTGACTGATAAGGCCACCGATTTTTTTTTCTTGCATACAACCTCAGGTTGCTTTAATAACTTTGGAGTTTCAGAAAAATTGAGTATCAAATGAACACTTAACTCTCCATGTATAATTTCTCAGAAAGAAGGCTTTATCTTGTGCCTTCAATGCTGAATTGTGTAAGTATGCTCACTATGATACTTTCATGATGAGAAAATTGACTTATTCTGGTGGACAACTCTAATTCACACATTGGCTTTTCAATTAAGAGAGATTAAAAGAAGAAAAATTCTGTGGCACTTGAATTCCCTATGAATATATAAATATTATGATGCTGCTTTCCAATATGCTGACTTATATGCATATAATTTGAGTATTACTTTAAGCCTAATCCCCAACTTTTTGAAGTTACACTTTTTTACTAAAAATGCATTTTAAAAACTCTTTGAATCAATTTAAATGCTTGCTTCTTGAGGAGATAATGCATATTAAAAAGGTAGTTATGAAATTTACATAGAATTGTATATATTTAACATAAACTTAACATGGCCTCTAAACGTTATTAATAGTTGTCTTCATTTAGATGGATCACATGGTATTAACATACATTATCTAAAAGATTAATTAACGGATATTTAAAAAGCCACACCCTTTCTTTCCTTTTATAGTACAAAGATCTGTAAGATAACATGCTCAGGAGTAAAATTTAACAAGTACTATTTATTGATTGTATAACTTTAATATAATCTATACCCATTTTGCATATCTATGACGATTTTAAAATTTCACAATTATGAATCACCAAGGGCATCTGCAATCAAGAGATAATTTGTGTATGGCCTTTTCCTATACCTAGCTCACTTTTCTTTGCAGATTTAAATAAATGGGTTATTCAGATCTATAACACAGTACAGTATTTATCTAAACTTGTGCTGACTCTGCAGATGTCATTTGGAATTTTTTAAATGCTCATGTTTAAACAAGAAACCTACATAATTAATTTGCAAATCACCCTTCATTATTCCAAGTTTAAATTAAGAAAATAATGCCTAAAGGAAATGCAGACTAAAAGCCTGCTTCTGGTCACACTGTTTCCACAGGGAATTTATAATCTGTCAATTTTTGTAGGGCATCATTGCCTTAATTTAAATTTGAAGAAATTTAGGATGAGTTCTTAAAGTTGCTCTGTGTATTTGTAGAAACGGGCATTTATATTTTTCCTTCATTAAATACAAGTAAAACTTTCCAAACACTGATCTAATTGTGGTATTTTGGTAATATTTATTGTCATATTTTTTCTCAAACTTCAGAATGGGAATCTTAACAAAGCTAACAATAAATAATATCTTTGCCTTTTTTTGTTCTTTTTTTTTGTTTTGTTTTGTTTTTTGAGACAGAGTCTTGCTCTGTCGCCCAGGCTGGAGTGCAGTGGTGCGATCTCAGCTCACTGCAAGCTCTGCCTTCCAGGTTCACGCCATTCTCCTGCCTCAGCCTCCTGAGTAGCTGGGACTACAGGTGCCCGCCACCGCGCCTGGCTAATTTTTTGTATTTTTAGTAGAAATGGGGTTTCACCGTGTTAGCCAGGATGGTCTCAATCTCCTGACCTCCTGATCTGCCCGCCTTGGCCTCCCAAAGTGCTGGGATTACAGGTGTGAGCCACCGCGCCCGGCCCATCTTTGCCTTTTTATGAAGTCTCTTTCTTCAATAAGTTTGTTATTAGGCACATGTTATCTCTTGTGGCATGAAATGACAAACAGCAATAAAATTGGCCCACTGAGAAATATCTTAGACCTAAAATTCCACAACTCCTGTGAGCAGCATAAGTTATTGAGAACCTGCATCAACTTTTAGTGACTAAAAGTCAAACATAAAGTGACATCCAGAAAGGGTGTGTCAGAAAACAGATGTAAGTCCAGAGAAACAATATGCATAAGGAAGAGCCAGACGTGAAAAATTCTTGAGTATAGCTAAGGGATTCTGGCAACAGGAAGATTTGGAACAATCAAGAATGGAATACTCAATAGGCAGCAAGCTTTCCATAGGCTCTGAGGTCAGACATTTGATTCTAAACCTTGAGGACACAAGCAAAAGGTAAGAGAAAAATCTTCAATGAAAGAAACACAGGGCAAAATATTAAAACAATGGCCCAAATTTAGGAAAATAAAAAGACATAGGAATAACAACGGAAGGAATATTAAGGTAGATTATAGATCTAAAAACGAGCAAAGATTCATTATTACACCTGGGATATGAAGACAGAGTGAGAACAGCAAATTTAAGTTGATGAATGGTCTTTTGAATATGAAAATAAATGTTTCCTACAGATACTATTGTAACCAGAGATTCAACATGGATAGACTACTAGTTAACTATCAAATACATATTGATAGTGAGAGCTAAAGAAGCCCTGTGAAATATAGATTTAAATAAACTGTTTCAGTGAAAATGTTAACATTTTAAAAAATATAATTTAATACAAAATATTTAAGTCTATGAGAAAAATATAAACTATTTTGTGTTCATATGAAAAACAATTTTAATTCTTTAAAAATGTACAGTTAATGTAAAATTAATTGCACGTGAATTGCAATTTAATACAATTTGACAAACATATACCGTATCGCCACAATAAAGATAATGTACATATCCATCGTCCTTCAAAAGTCTCTTAGTTTCCTTATTAATCCCTCCTTCTTTCTACTCCCAGCACCTTATCCAGACTCAAGGCAAACACTGATTTACTCTCTGTTATAGATTTGTTATTATTTTCTAGATTTTAATATCAAGATACTTACAAAGTATATATATATTTTGTCTGATTTTTTGACTCAGCATAATTATTTTGAGATTCATCTATGTTGCTACTTCAGTAGTCTACTTCTTTCTATTGCTGAGTAGTATACCATTATATGAATATACCGAAAATATTTTTATCAATTTACCTGTTAATGGAAATTTAGACTATTTTCTGTTAACATATTAGTAAAATGCTGATAATTCAGTAAGTGTACGTTTAACTTTTTAAGAAACTGTCAAACTATTTTTCAAACTGTGTGTATCATTTTACTTATGCACCAGCAATGAAAATGTTCAATAGGTCTTTATCTCTATTAACACTTGTTAGAGTGATTTTTTTTTAATTTTAGACATTCCTTTTTATGTAATTTATATACAAATTCAACACAATCCTAATCACATTCCCATGGTTTTACTTGTAGAGATCTACAAGCCGATCTTGTATATAGAAGCAAAAAAGTAGAGTAATCAAAACAATTTTGAAAGCAAAGAGCAAAGGTTGATAATTTACATTTCCCAATTTCAAAGATATGAAGATAGTGTGATATTTTTATGAGAACAGACATATCAATTAATAGATGAATAGATCTGGATGCAAAGTCCAAAAATAGACTTTATGTTTATTGTCGGTTGATTTTTGTGAATAGGTCAAGGAAAATAAATGAAGAAGAGAAAATTCACTTTAAGAAATTGTGCTGGTCAATGGAATTTGCAAAAAAATTGAGCCTACTCTTAAATGTAAGCACTAAAACCATAAATTATGTAGAAAAAATATAGAAGAAAACTTTAGTTGTTTTGGATTAGGCAAAGGCAGACATATATATTCACACATATATATGACCCTAAAATAATAAAAGAATAATCGGTAAAAGAAAAAATTATAAATTAGACTATATCAAAATTAATATACCTATTTTTCTAATAATACGGCTTTGAAAAATTTATAAGACAGGTCATAGCCTGAGTAAACATATTTGCAAATCATATATCTGCTAAAGAACGTGTATTCATAAAATAAAAGGCAAACTTACAACTAACTAATAAGAAGACAATCCAGTTTAAAAAAAATGGCCAAAGAATTAAATAAATATTTTACCAAAAATATTTATATATGATGAATAGCACATGTTTCATTGGATAATTTCTATTATTACATATTCAAAGTCACCATTCCTTTCTTCTGTATTTTCTACTCTGTTTTTAATCTCATATAAAGGATTTTTGAAAAATCTTAGACATTTTATTTTTTATAAGTTTTATTTGAATCTTTCCACTTCTCCTATGTCACTACTGAAACATTTTAAATGCTTCCTCTACCTTCTTGAACATATGAATTATAATAATTTTAATGTAATTGTATACTAAGCCTAATATCTGTTTCATTTTTCTATTAATTTTGATTTTTTAACCATCCCCTCATTCCCACTAACAACACTTAACTGCCATATATTTCACTGATTTGGTTTTCCTCATCCATTTAACTTTTCTTTTCTCCTTTTTCTTCTTCTAGCTAGTACATAAATATAAAAATCTTGCATTCATCTCTGTTTAACACTATTTCCTTCTTTTCATAGTATACCTATGTAATACTGTTTCTTTTCTTGACTTCAGAGATTTCCAGAATTTTATTTGCTTTCTGTGTGCCTAAAAGAAATATTTTACTGTATCTGCTCTCTGCTATTATTCACTTCATGTATGCACTTTTTCTTTCTTTCTCTATCCGATCACCCATGAGATATCTATGCATTTATGTGCAAATAGAATTGATTTTTGTACTTCCAAATCTGTTTTCCATCTTACATTTTTTCTTGGTCTGTCTGCTAGATTACAGCATGTTCTTATGATCAGTCTTGTTAACTTGGAAAAGGTTGCTTAAGTTTTCCATTATAATACTAATATCCAGTTACCTTATCTGTACAATTAGACATTAATTACATTATTTCATTCACTGAAACTGACATAAGATCCTAATATTGGACCGCACTAGGATTCTATCCTCAGGTCTCCATTGACACTCAACTCCTTTTGTGACCTTATCCAGAATAGTGGGCTTAAATTACCCGTTTGTGCTTGCAGTGCAACACTCAAAATCTTCCCTAAATGCCCGACTCCTTTATATGATTAAAATTATGACAGATATTCAAAACTAAGTCTAAAGCAGAGCTCCTAACATTCTCATTGAATGTGTTCCTCTCGCATGCTTCCTCATCTAAATAAACATGGTGACTCCATCATTCCAAGTGCTCAGACCACAAATCTTGAAGTCAACCTGTCTCCCCTTTCTTTCCCATTATAGAATCCATCCGTCCACAAAATCTGTTGGCTCTACTTTCAAAATATATTCAGAAACCTATGACTTCTCTTAATCTTCATCTCTATAGACTGGCCTACACTTCTAAATCAAATAGTTGAAGGAGCATCTTAATTTGTATCTGCGGTTCCACGCTTTCTCCTCTTCAGTCTCCAGTTATCTTTTTAAAGCATTTACTCAAATCAACCACCTTCCTACCTCTCTGACCTCATCACATACTGTCCTTCCCTCTCATTCAATCTCCAGCCACTTTGGCTCCCTGGTAATCATCTGCCTGTGATGCTTTTAATTTGGGCATTGGAATGGCTCAATCCCAAACTCGTTTCATGTTTTTCTTCATGTGTTACTGAGGCTTTTCTTATCTACTTATGTAACAATAAAATCCTTCTCTCATTCTGGTGCCATTTCCACTTATACACAAAGCAGGAGATAAATTATTTCTCCCAAATATTTACTTATATTTCATGTAAGGGTATTACGTATCTCTCCTTTTTGGAAGAATATACTTGCCTTCAGCACTGAAATCACATTTGGCCACCTGAATTGCTTGATTTATAAGGTAAGAACAAAAGTAGCTGCATTCCAATTAGAACAGAGGTTTTAATAGCCATCATATGGTTTTGTTAAAGAGACTTCAATTAAAAGTTTGCTGCACTTTTGAGTCTTCCACGACAATGCTTTGTCCCAGATTAGAATTGCTTCTTTTGCTTAGATTACATAATGAATAAAATACATAGAGCAGAATCAGAGCTAGAACAGAGCCATATCTTACCCTGGTCAATAAAAGGCATAGTGATTTCAGAATTGTTGATTACTACAGCATAATTTAACAGTTAAAGCTGACCATGTAGACATATTTTATATTTTCCATTTTATTTATTATCTTCCTCACAAATGTATGCCTTCCATGAGAGCAAGGACTTGGACTGTTTTTTTCCTCTTTTAACCCAAGAACTGACAATAATGCCCAATACATGGTTGGTAGTCAGTAAATGTTTGCTTAATGGATGACTGAATAAATAAATGAATATGATTATTTAATGGAATAATACAGACTAATCATCACTAAGTATTTGGTAAATAATAAATTATCAAATACTAAATTAGAGTTATAATTATCAAATACTAAATCAGAATTATAATAAGTACCATGTCTTTTTAACTTTGATAGTCTCCATAGTGTGGAACTGAGAGATTTGCACGTAGTATGTGCTTAATGTAAATTTTCTGAATGTAATTAAATTGATATTTACCATCAGTTGGTGTCAGAGGATAAGAAATTTCAAATATGTTTTTGAATTATTAATGGGTTTCTAAAGTAGTGTGTGAATTTTAGTCTCTTTACAGATTGTAAAAGATACACTTTAATTGACTCAAGCTGTCTACTGATGATCTGAATACTAATGAGTCCCCTGTAGGCTCATATTGGAAAGATCATGAACCCTCAGTCTTACTAGACATTAACAATTAAGATTAGATTTGATTTAATATGTCAACAAAGATGTACTGGGTACTTATTATATGCAGGCACTAAACAAGGAGCTCTGAAAATAATTTAAAAGATGATTATAGATGCATATATCCTATCACTGTATTGGGTATGCTAGCTGAAAAGCCCAAGATAAAGTGACAGATATCATTATATTTGAACTAAGATGTGTAGCAGAATTTTCTTTTAGTTCTTGATGGAAATGAGAAAATAAAGTATATGAGAACTTTGATTTTATTTGGCATAATATTTTCATTATTCTGTCATTTTTATTCACAGAATTATAAGAGAGAGAGTTAATTAATAATTCACTTAGCATATACTCATTGAATGTGTATAATGTTCAAGGTGATCTGATAGGATCCTTGTACTAAAATGATGCAGAGAGGGTTTTTCCTCTGAAAAAGCTTCCAAAGAGCAACTTCTTGTAAAAATATTGTTAGACAATAATATGTTAAAATCCTGTTAGAAAAATCATCCTGAACCTGTAAGTCACCTAATTAATTGTAGGCTATGGGGAATGAATGCTATTTCCTCCTAATGAAGAGAAAATAACAGTTTTTAAACTAGTGTGACTGGAGGACAGATTCCCCCTAGGAAGCTGGGAAGGTCCTGAGATGACCAAATATCCAAGTACAGTCATTATCAGCCCACATTATCCCCATTTGCTTGTCTCAGTGTGCCATACAAATATTATTTTTTTCTATATGCACAATAATATGAAAAAGTTTGGGAATTACTACTCTAGAGGTTTCTACTCTTTTATCAGAACAATTAAAGATTTTGTCATGAAAGTTTCATTACATAGTTTAACTATCTCATAAATGTTACTCAGACGTATTTATTTATTTATTTATATTATTATTATTATTTTTGAGATGGAGTCTCGTTCTGTTGTCCAGGCTGGAGTGCAGTGGCCTGATCTCTGCTCACTGCGAGCTCCGCCTCCCAGGTTCATGCCATTCTCCTGCCTCAGCCCCCCGAGTAGCTCGGACTACAGGCGCCCGCCACCAAGCCCGAGCAATTTTTGGTATTTTTAGTAGAGATGGGGTTTCACCGTGTTAGCCAGGATGGTCACAATCTCCCGACCTCGTGATCCGCCCGCCCTGGCCTCCCAATGTGCTGGGATTATAGTAGACAACAGAAGAGAGACAGCACTGGTAAAGGAAATAGGCTTCCCTGGATCTCCCTATGTCTTTATAGAGATAAACCTCAGGATTCCTGGCACTTGCTTGCTTCCTTTTTTAAACTATTTTTTTACATTTTAGATTCAGAATTTACATGTGTGTGTGTTTTTTTTTTCTCCCCTCTATTTTTCTGTCTGACATCACGTTTTGAATTTTTTTTTTAATTGATAAGTTAGCCACAGCAAATATTCTATATCATCTTGTATTAGGCCATTTTTATGCTGCTGATAAGGACATACCTAAGACTGGAAAGAAAAGGAGATTTAATTAGACTTACAGTTCCAAATGGCTAGGGAGGCCTCAGAATCATGGTGAGAGGTGAAAAGCACTTCTTACATGGCGGTGGCAAGAGAAAAATGAGGAAGAAACAAAACTGGAAAACCCTGATAAACCCATCAGATCTCGTGAGGCTTATTCACTATCATGAGAATAGCACAGCCCCCATGATTCAATTATCTCCCCTGGGTCCCTCCCACAACACCTGGGAATTCTGGGAGATAAAATTCAAGTTGAGATTTTGATGGGGACACAGTCAAACCACATCACGTCTAGGCACTTTTGTGTATTTCTAAAATATGCACATTTTTATTTTGTATGTTTAATGTGGAAACATGAGTTACTATTTTAGTAACACTTTGTAAACTGTTTCAAAGTTTCTACTTATTCTCTCTGGATACTTTTTTTTTTTTTTCATTTTCAATATCCAACTTCAGAAGTGCCCCACTAAGCTAAGTAAAACAGTTTTTCGTATTCCTATGAAAACTTTCAAGATCTGTAATATATTACTGTACCTATAATATTTTATTTTATATATAGCATCCAGTGTTTTTCAAAGTTATTTAACCATATATACCATTTTTTGTTTTCCTGTGAGCACTAAAGCATTTAATAGGAGTAATAGTCAATGAAATACTGGGAAACAGATATTGAGTTAACTCAAAATTGTAAAATTTTCAACCATCCTAATATTGGATTGTCAGGATTTAATGCAGTTTCAAGCAAAATCTAATGAGTTTTTATTTGTTTGTTTAGTGCAAAATGACACAATGAAGTTAAATTTATTTGGAAATTCAAGGGGTCCAAAACAGCTGTGGTCTATCAGTCATAAATTGCTATATTAAAAACTGCCCCAAAACACAGAGGCTTCAAAAAACATTAATTTATTAGCTCACCATTTTGTGGGTGAGTAATTTAGGCTAAGGTTAGCTGAGCAGCTCTTCAGTTGGTCTCACCTGAACTCTTTCATGCTGTCAGACTAAGCTGGTAGCTCAACAGAGGCTGGCCAGCCCAAGAGGGAGCCAGTCATTTGTTGGCAGTTGGTATGGGTGGTCAGCTGGGCCTCTCTCTACATAGTATCTCATCCAATGGGAGGTTAGCCTAAACTTTTTTACTTGACAGTCAAAGGGCTCCAAGGAGGCAAAAATGAAAGTCACAAGGCCTCATGAACCCTAGGTTCGGAAGTCACATAGTAATGATTTCCTTCACTTTTACTTTATTAGAGCAACTCATGAGGTCAACTCAAGATTCAAACAGAATTCACGGCCATTTTTAATCCACCACAAAAGAGAATCTTGAAAGAGAATGAAAAAGTTGGAAGCCTGCACTAATGAATATCATCTTCACCACCTCAAACAATTATCATTTCTTTATCTTGGAAACATTTCAGCTCTTCTCTTAAAGCTATTTTGAAATAAATAAAATATTATTATTAGCCATAGTCAGCCTATTGTGCTATCAAACACTAGAGCTTTCTATTGCTTGTATGTTTGTACCATTAACCAACTTCTCTTCATTCTTACCCAGCCTCTGGTAACTATAATTCTATTCTTTATCTCCATGAGATCAACTTTTTTATCTCCTACATATGCGTGAGAACATGTGTCGTCTTTCTGCGTCTAGCTTATTTCACATAACATAATGACCTCTAGTTCCATTTATGTTGCTGTAAATGACAGGTTTCTATTATTTCTTTAAGGCTGAATGGTATCACATTGTGTTCATATACTATGTACAACCATTGTGGAAAACAGTGTGGAAGTTCCTTAAAAAACTAAAAATGAGACTAGCTTCTAGCAATGCCAGCACTGGGTACATATCAAAGGGAAGAAAATCAATATATCAAAGCGATACTAGCACCGCCATGTTTATTGCAGCACTATTTGCAATAGCTTAGATATGAAATCACACTAAATGTTCATCAACAGATGAATGGCTAAAGAAAATGCAGTGGTCGGGCACAGTGGCTCACGTCTGTAATCCCAGCACTTTGGGAGGCTGAGGTGGGCAGATCACGAGGTCAGGAGTTTGAGTCTGACTAACATGGTGAAACCCCGTCTCTACTAAAAATAAAAAAATTAGCCGGGCGTGGTGGCACGTGCCTGTAATCCCAGCTACTCAGGGGGCTGAGGCAGGAGAATCGCTTGGACCCAGGAGGCGGAGCTTGCAGTGAGCTGAAATCGCGCCACTGTACTCCAGCCTGGGTGACAGAGTGAGACTCTGTTTCAAAAAAAAAAAAAAAAAAAAAAAAGCAGTATATATTATTGCATTAGGTTTAAAATTTAATTTAAAATATAGTTTAATTTCAAAATTTAATTTAATTTTAATTTATTGCAGCTAAGTAAGACAATAACCTTGTTTTCAGGAAATAGACACTAAAAAATTTAAGGATTGAGGTGATGGTATGTGCAACTGCAACCCCACCTGAAGGTCTTCTGAGACTCAACTAGACATTCAAGTGACAAGATTCACTTGAATGACTTGAGTGACAAGATTCTCATGGGTACCACTCCAATCAGAAGTAACAGGGCAGAAACCACAGCTTGCCAGAATGAGTGTCAGGTATTGCTTTTCTCCAGGAGTCCTTATTGCAGTGCAATATTTCAAAGGCATGATAAAAATCAGGAGGCTACAGGAGCTGATATAGCTTTAAAATATCTGGCCCCACAGGATCAATATCTTTTATAATATTTATATAAGCCATTATTTTAGGGTTTCTGCAAAGGACATGCCAGTTATGGGATTTGGTATAGTCAGAGAAGACCCCAGTATAGTTTTCTATCAGCTACTCATGCAGTTTATTAATTAAAGGTCATTTTTACCTTAAGCAATGCTATGGTTTGAATTTTTGCTCCCTCCAAAAATGTTAAAATTTGGTTGCCCCTGAGGCAGTGTTAGGAGGTGAGACCTTAGAGAAGTGCCAAAGCCCTGCGAGCTCTGTTGTCAATGATGGGATTCATGCCATTATGAAAGGGCAAAATTGGACCCCTCCTGCTCTCTTTGACCTTCTCCCTTTTACCATGTGATGACACAGCTAGAAGGCCACCACTAGATGCCAGCTCCTTGATCTTGAATTTCCTGGCCTCCAAAAATGTGAGCTCATTATAAATTACTGAGTCTTAGATACTCTGATAGCTGCACAGAACAATCCAAGACAAGCAGCCAGTAACACCTTTATACATATACATATATATATATATATACGTATATATATATATATATACATATATATATAAAGAGGAGTAAAGAGGAGTTTATTAAATATTAACTTACATGATCACAAGGTCCCACAACAGGTCATCTGCAAGCTGAGGAGCAAGGAGAGCCAGTCCAAGTCCCAAAACTGAAGAACTTGGAGTCCGATGTTCAAGGGCAGGAAGCATCCAGCATGGGAGAAAGATGTAGGCTGGGATGCTGGGCCAGTCTAGTCTTTTCACGTTTTTCTGCCTGTTTTATATTCTAGCCATGCTGGCAGCTGATTAGATGGTGCCCACCCAGATTAAGGGTGGGTCTGCCTTTCCCAGCCCACTAACTCAAATGTTAATCTCCTTTGGCAACACCAGCACCCACACAGACATACCCAAGATCAATACTTTGCATCCTTCAGTCCAATCAAGTTGACACTCAGTATTAACCATCACAAATTTATTTTATAAGTCCACTTACCTAACAATCTTATTCAGTAGGTTTAATCATGGACAATGTATTAAGGGCATATTTTCTTAAAATTTTACATTCTTTGAAACATTTTATTAGAAATTCCTTCAGTAAACATTCTCTAAGCATCTATTACATTAGATTCTATTACATTTGAATATGAAAAAGCATTTAGGAATAATTCACAATCCTTCTGAAGTATGTGTTTTTCCTTCCATTTTGCAGATAAGTAAAGCTAAGGATGAATATAAAGTCTAACCAGATGGGAAAATATGATTTTTTTTACTACAGAGAACAATATTTTTCATAATTATGCATATATATTTTATTTTAGCAATGTAGAACTATACACTAATGTTGTGTAACATAATGCATAGTAATACCTAAATGATCTTCACAAGGCATGGAAAACTCAACCCTAACATTTTGAGCAGCACCTCCAACGTCTAAATTCATATAGTTTAACCATTACTCAGTGAGTAAAAGATGTACATTTCTAGTAATTTTAGTGAGTCATAGATATATTCTGTGTAATTATTTTATGTTCAAGTGCATTTGAATTTGACAGTATTATTTAACCTAAAAATTTATTTTGGATATAGTAAGTACTATGTCAACATCAATAACCACTATAGTGGAAACATCTCACATTTCTAAAAATTATGAACAAGTTAGTATCACAAATATTATTGCTTATTATTCTTACAAGAATGTTGTAGATATTATTTCCATGTTAGATGTGGGGAAATTAAGGCCCATGACCAGCTCAAATACATATACTTAGTAAGAAATAGATATAAACAATATCATATTGAAAGTTTTCTAGCCAATATTTTTCCCATCTCACCAAAAGTAAGTAAATATTTCCCCCAAAAACCTTTATGTAACAACAAGATGAGCAACAACCTGTCTTTTATCTAAGCTTAAGCTCTTTAGGAAAGAAGAGTAGCCAAAGCTGTAAGTCTTGGAAAATTTGACTTTTATTACACCACGAGAGATTTCAGAGTTCTTAAATTTTTAAAGCCTATGCTCATAGCAACTGTTCTAAATTGTCCTTGAATGTTGCTAAGACTCGAGGGAGAAAAGGGGGCCAGGTCTCAAAGAAAGCTCGATTCTCCACATGCAAGGTACAGATGCAATGAGTGGTGATATCCTACTACTGCAAAGGACAGTGGTCTGAAAGTTGAGGAAGAGGCTGTGATTGCTAGAGACTCATCAATAAACATCTTAAAAATTATAGTGAACATACTGGTTCCAAGACTTATATGTGACGAAAGTAGATACCATAAGCAGCAGAGCCACCTAAGGCCAACGGGCCAAATGGACCCAGCCAATAAGCAACACAGCATGGTTTTTCATGAACTAAAGAACAAAGCACTTTGGCAAAAAATTCTCACATTGAGTATGCCCTGGGCTCTGTGGGAGCTAGAGTTCCCTAGAAAGCAGAATTTTTGAAAAAGGTTTAAATTAAATGACTTTATTGCATAATGTGATCTAGAGAGCAGGAGTGAGTAAGAAGTGTGATACCAAAAAAGGAGGGAGAGTCGATATATACAAATAATTGTTTGCTCATTCTAACAGGAACTCCTGAAGAGTAAAATGAAATGCATCTCAGGACTAACCCTGAGGGACACAGAGAATTATACACCATAGGTCAAAGGTTGTCCCTCAAGGGGCATAAAGGTAACCAATTTAGGAAATACAAGAGCTGTTCTGGGTATCTCTACTGCTACCTTAACAGCGAAGCCCAAGGGCAAAATGCAACAGAAGCTCACAGCAGGAGCTGCAGAGCTGGATACAGGAGTAGTAAATAAAATTAAATTTATATTCTAGCCACACTGGAGGCTGATTAGATGGTGCCCACCCATATTAAGGGTGGGTCTGCCTTTCCCAGCCCACTGACTGAAATGTTACTCTCCTTTGGCAAAAAAAAAAAAAAAAAAAAAAAAAAAAAAAAAAAAACAACAACAAAAAAAACTATGATGCAAAAACATAGAATCCACCCAAATGCCATCAGTGGTGGACTGGATAAAGAAAATGTGGTACATATACACCAAGGAATACTACATAACCATAAAAAATGAAATCTTGTCCTATGCAGCAGCATGGGTGAAGGTGGAGGCCAATATCCTAAGTGAGCTAACACAGGACCAGAAAACTAAATGCCTCATGCTCTCACTTGTAAGCGGAAGCTAAACACTGAGCACATATTGACATAAACATGAGAACAATAGACACTGTGGACTACTCGAGTAGAATGGGAAGGAACTGTGCGTGGGTTGAAGAACTACCTGTGGGTACTATGCTCACCACCTAGATAATGGGATCTGTATCCCAAACCTCAGAGGCACTCAATATTCTCATGTAACAAACCTGCATATATACTCCTTTATCTAAAATAAATGTTGAAATTTAAAAAGAAAGAAAGAAAAGAAAAGAAGAAAGGAAGAAAAGAGGAAAGAAGAAAGAAAAGGAAGGGAGGGAGGGAGGGAAAGAAGGAAGGAAGGAAGGAAGGAAGGAAGGAAGGAAGGAAGGAAAATAAAGGAAAAGAAATCTGTGAGGGCGTATTAAATAATGCACAAGAGAGGTTCCATATCAACTGCTCTGATATAACTCAGATACAGACATAACCCTATTAAGGCTACTTCATCACAAAGCTCCCACTAAGGGAAAGATCCACTTTGGTCTCTGAAAAGAATGAAAGTAAGAGGCTCATGAAAACAAATCTTCATTGGTGCATTTATTTGTAAGGATATTCATCCCTATTCTCCCTTTCTTACTTTCATTTGCCTGCACCCTTAGCTAGCATTCTGACTAGTCTCCATTGTTCAATTTATCACCGAAGAGTCTAGATACTTTTTTTGCTCTTGTCAAGCTATGATTCTTCAATTGTGCATTTACCATTTAATTATCTGGATCTGGATGATCTGGATGTATTTTTCCATGTTCCTACTGCCTACCAGCAATCCTGGTTCTTGATGGAAATCAGAATTAAATGATTCTTACAGATAGAGTAAACTTTTTTCTATGCCTACTGCATTGTTTGTGTTAAGAACCTCCCTTTGACCAGGTGGTAGTCATAGCTTCAAGTTCAGTGAACCTTTATTACATTCCCTTGAAAAGGAAGCTTTAATTCTGAAAACATAGACCTTAAAATCCACTACACCTTCAGAATAATACATTCAAGTAGGAAACTGAGAATCATGTTGAGAAGGACCAATACCACTTCCTCAGTTTCAAAATCCATGTAGTCTAGGTACAGAAACAAAGTATCATATATATGCCATTGTTTCCTTACATATTCAGGATCCTGAAGAGATAGCATTATAATCTGCAGAGTATTGTCCTTAAACCATCACCTTAGCTCAACTTTCAACAAGCCCTTCTTTATTCTGTTAGATCAGCTGCATCAGGGTGTTGGGATATATGAAAATGCCAGTGGGTCCTATGACCGTGAATCCATTTTACCATCTCTTTTGCCATAAAATATATCTTCTGGTAGAAGACAATATTGTCCTTGCTATGTCTATAAACCCCAGGATAGCAGAAGAGTGATGCTTGCAGAAATAGTGCACTGGGGAAGCAAATATATATCAAGAATAGATGCAAACTGAGAAGTCCAGGGCTGAGGGGGACAGGCACGAGGGAAGAGGCTTGGACCTGAAGTGAAGTGTTCTCAAATTAAACCTTCATGAAGCTAGTCAAAGCCCAAACATAACAGGTTGATGCAGCCATGGATTTATGGGTCTGAACTGGTGAATATTATGTTTGATGCCAGGTTCTAGGTATCAAGGGAGAGAAAGGAGATTCCTTAAATTACTAAGGTTTGATTTTCAGCTCACTTGCAAGACACCTGAATTATTTAATTTCACTTAAGAAATATGGCCTTCCTTGCAGTAAAGTTTCTTATAAAAATTCACACACTTCATATTCAATAATATTTATATCTATGGAAAATAATAAAATGGATCAATGGGCCTTTCATTTCTAGAAAAGAGGTAAAACATACCTGGAATTTGAAACCTAAACAATCCTAAAAAGCAACCACAAAGAGTTGCTGGAGCTATGCCGTTGCTGCTTAGGCACTGGACTTCTGGCCTATTTGGCCATATTTGGACAAATATTCCAAGTGCTTATCCTAGAGTGATAAGTTATACAAATTCTTGAGTCAAGGACAATATTCTGAAATCCAACAGTTATTGTTTTTGGTCTCTTGAAAGTTGCCTTCCACTGTACTAACAGTTTTTTACTAACAGTTAAAAAACAGAGCAGCATTAGCCCTGAGGTAGTCCGCACTTACCGTGTTAAAACTCTTGGTCACCCACTGCTTTAATCATAATTCTCTCTCATTGTTTCTTATAAAATCAAAACGACCTGACATTTCCACAGCTGATATTTGTTTTTCTATAGGCAAAATCCAGCTGACAGTAAATATTAGACACCAAATGCTTCACACGTATTGCTTGGGTTTTCTTTTTTCAGCAGACTTGCAGATAAGGATATTGTGAAGCACATGCTTACTTATGCTTGATTGCTGTTACAATGCTTATAAGGATGAATTCTCAACTAGAAAGATGAACTTCTGGAATTTTCTCCTGTAATCATCAGAACTATGAATATATGCAAACGGTGTTAAAACAAAAAATGAATTTCAGCCTTTTCCTTCTTTGCATGACAAATTAGTTCCTTGGTTATTTGAAGAACAAGAGCAAAGCATCGCAGGAGTAATAGTTTAGATTGCTTAGTATAAACATCTTCCTATTAGAAAACAGAGACAAATGAGTTTCAATAGGAATTACTATAAATGTTGAGCTTTCCTTCCTTTACAAAACGTTCATCAACCAGTAGAGCAAAGAGCATGCATTGATAGAAAAGGCTCTGTACAAAGCATAGGTTGAAATTTCGTCTCTCATATGTGAGTCATGCAATAGTTGACCAGTCTCTTAAACTTACTGGTCCTTTGTTTTCTCATTTGTTTTTCCCAACTGAGAGTAGACAAATAAATATTTGGAGGTCATTTAGTGTCTAAGTGTGAGCTTTCTACAGAATGTAGGATAGTGTTTTAAGAATTTCAGATTCAATTTGTGTAAGATTTTTCAACTTTTTCACCTTTCTAATCCTACGGGGTAATATTTACAACAATGCTTCACATTTTTATATTGTGAAATGTTTTCCAAAGTGTTTTATTATATATTACATCTGAACTTCCAAATCATTATGTGAGGTAAGCTTCACAATGCAGATGTTATCATCTGCAACTCAGTGGGGTAAAAACTCAAGATATTATACCCATTAAGCCTTAAAATAGTGTCTGAAAGTAAAATCCTCCCATTGTAATTAAAAACTAACTTTTGGGCTTTTTTTCTTCTACTCTATGTCTAATTTATTGATAATTCAAAGGCAGATTATTGAAGTGAAAATATTGATTAAATTTTTTGAAAAGAAGAAATTGAAATGAATTTAGAGAAGGAGGAAAAGAAGAAGGGAGAGAAAGAGGAAAAGAGAGAAAGAAAGTATGAGAGGCAGAGAGGAAAAGAGAAGAAGGGAAGGAAGGAAAGAAAAGAAGGAAGGAAGGAAGAAAGGAAGGAAGGAAGGAAGGAAAGAAGGAAGGAAGGAGAGTTTAAGAGATTAATTTAAAATCCCATATTCTTTGGTAATCCAAGGATTACCTTATACCATCTACAATCCATTTAAACTTCTTTATATAATTCTTTTATTATGAAGATGGGGAGGACAGTTTTCCCTTAAATATAAGGCAAAATAAATAAAACACTGGAAATTTTAAGATGTGGTCACACTTCTAAATGTAAATATTAATGAAAAATAAATTAATTGTGAAGCAAACCAGATGAGATATGGCAAAAGATAAACAATCAAATGAAAGAATACGCTACAAATTTATGCAGTTACTCATTCAACTGTGTGCAATACCAAAAACAGAAACACAATGGACAACTCCATTGTCCAGTTTAGTTATCTTTACTTGTGTTTTGATTACTGGAACTTAGTAGGGCTATTGGTAAGAAAAATTGTTTTTTTGTTTTTTTTTTTACTGAGTCTTGCTCTGTCGCCCAGGCTGGAGTGCAGTGGTGTAATCTCAGCTTACTGCAAGCTCTGCCTCCCGGGTTCACACCATTCTCCTGCCTCAGCCTCCCAAGTAGCTGGGACTACAGGTGCCCACTACCACGCCCAGCTAATTTTTTTGTATTTTTAGAAGAGACGGGGTTTCAGCATATTAGCCAGGATGGTCTCGTTACTTTCTAATTGAAAAAAAAAAAAAGCAGAAACCTTTCCATTCTTCATTGTGCTGACCTGGAAAATAATGATTTAATGATTCTCTTTTAGAAATGATTTGAAGATAAATGAAGTAATGTCTTTTTGTTCATTATAAAAGGTGGCTATTACTTACTTTGCTAAGGTGTAATTAGTCATTAAAGAACTAGAAATGCCTTTGCAAAAACTCCTCTTCCACGAGAGTATAAAAAAACAGTACATTTCAGTGACATAGGTAACACAGGACTTTTGTTTTTTATATACCATCCACTTTAGATATCAAGTTTCCTTGTACCAAGAAAAACTGAGCATAGAGAAAAATGATCTGAAAAACTTTTCATATGTCAATAGGTTAAATCTTTTCCCATAGATAACCCAATCAATATTTATTAAATATAAATAACATTTAAAATAATAATATTACATAATATTTCTGAGATTTGAGACAGTATATTAACATGAATAAAGTTATTTGATACCAGTAAAATGTAATGGCAAAGTATTTCCCATGTATGATTGTAACAAATTCTAAAATAGTTTTCAAGACAAAACATTTACAAGACTTGTACAAAGTCTTGTATGGAGAAGATATTTAAAAGTGTAAATATTTTCATTTTCTATATTTATTATGGAATATTAATACAGTTTCAATGAGAATCTTTCTAGGATTATATTGTTATTTTTACCTTGCTGGATTTATAATCAGATTGATATAGAGTAATACATGTTTGTGAATAGCAAAAAATTTGGAAAATGAAGAATACATGCCCACCGTGTATTAAAATAAATTTTAAAGCCAGGTACAGTGGCTCACACCTCTAACCCCAGAACTTTGGGAGGCCAAGATGCACAGATCACCTGAGGTCAGGAATTTGAGACCAACCTGGCCAACATTGCGAAACCCCATCTCTACTTAAAATACAAAAATTAGCCAGGCGTAGTGGCTCACGCCTGTAATCCCAACCACTGCAGAGGCTGAGGCACAAGAATCACCTGAACCCAGGAGGCAGTGTTTGCAGTGAGTCGAGATCACGCCACTGCACTCCAGCCTGGGTGACAGAATGAGACTCTGTCTCCAAAATAAATAAATAAATGAATAAATGAATGAATAAATAAATAATTTTAAAAATAAAATAAATTTTAAAATTTCAGGAGTTAAAACAGTTGATTTGAGAGGTACAGGGCAATAATAAACAAACAAACAAAAAGCCCTGGAGCTTCCAAAAGCATGGTGTTGTGATAGGACTTCTTAAAAATGCATTTTATGTGAAAGTTATAAAGGAAAAATGATATGACACCATATTGTTCAATTAATGTCAATATTAGTTGCAGATGTGGAGAATATGTATGGGAAAAGAAAGTCACTGACCTGTAAATCCATGCCAGGGCAAGTAACATTGGCAAAATAAAACTCAAACATTGAATCTTGGGTTTTATTTGCCATGTACAACACTTCAAAGTTTGTGCAACAAGTTTTTAGTGTAATCTTGATGAATTAAGCAAAATCTCATTGTTCTACATTTAATTCCCAGAGAAACTAACAAAGATTTGAATACACATAATGGATTTGGGAAGTGACTACTGGAAACACTACTAAGAGAGTGGGAAGGTGAGATAGAGCAGGAAACAAAGCCAATACAGGTAAATGAAGAACAGATGTCTACTGTGACTCAATCCTACTGGGGACTTTCTGGGAAAATGAATATAATGTGACTTTGAGTTGTCCCAGTCTAGGGTAAACTCAGAGGTATTTACTCACTACCTCCACTCTGTGATTTATTAGGAATATACCCAGGATTAACTCCCTGGAACCTCTGGTTTGCTTCACACACGAACTGAGAATGATTTTGTAGACAGCAAAAGACATTAGCAGAGAAGTGTTGGTGTTTTCAGTAGAAGCCATAAACATGATTTTATGTGATTTATAAGGGGCAACATATGAAGGTGTGGTGACTGCTGAGGGACAGATACTGTACACTGTTACTTTGTTGATATTTAGAATCCAATCAAAGCAATCAATATCCAGACATTGTCACAGTGTCCAGTGGAATCAAGAACATTCCCACCAAGGGAAACAGCTTCCTGAGTTTGGGAAAAGAAGTTCAACTCATAGAAATGTAGTTTTTGTGCTGAAGTGATGCCTCAAGTCAATGATAGAAATGGTCATTATATGTTTAAAGAGCAATAGGATAATTCATTCATAATAATATATCACTATTTTTCTAGCTGCTCAAATCTATTTTTCTTCCTATAAAATTACTCAAATTTCCTTCCTATTTTACTATCATGAAGCTCAGGGAGTGGTGCACGAAGTTCCAACCAGCAATACCTCATGACCCAGGCCATGTGTGCTTTGGGAATGAGCATTAGACCCAATTCAAGTCAGTAAGAACTAATTCCAGGACGTTTATGCAAATTGTAGAAAGAATCATCTTCTTTCCGCTGGTTTAAACCTGGGGGCCACTAACTAATGATTTATTAACCAGTTGACATGGGTCTAAAATTGAAGACAAGGCAAAACTAAGAGAGAGAAACAAACAAACAAACATTAAAAACAAAACAAAACAGATTCTGATGACCTTGTTTGAAACCTGAGATGACCATTTGAAATTTGAGACGAAGATCAGACTGAGGTCAGACCAACCACTGAACTTTCAAGTGCTAGGAACCAATAGTGCTCTTTATATTGCTGAACAGTTTAAATTGAGTTTTAAATGAGTCTGATATATATTACTGAGAGGTGACAACGTGCTAGCAGCCCTTGCTCACTCTGTGTGCCTCCTAGGCCTCATCATCTGCTCTGGATGTGCTCGAGGAGCCCTTCAGCCTGCTGCTGCATTGTGGGGGCCCCTCTCTGGGGCTGGCCGAGGCCGGAGCTGGCTCCCTTTGCTCATGGGGAGGTGTGGAGGGAGAGGCGCAGGCGGGAGCCGGGGCTGCGTGCTATGCTTGCGGACCAGTGCGGGTTCCAGGGGTTGCGGGCTCAGTGGCCCCACACTCGGTGTGGCTGGTCAGCACCTGCTGGGCTTGATTGGCGGATGAGCTCCCTCTGGGCTCATCCGGAGTGCCCGGGCTAGGTGCCACAAAGTCCCGCAGTGAGTGCCAGTGAGAGGTGAAGCTGGCTGGGCTTCTGGGATGGGTGGGGACAGAAAATGGAGCAGGCCAATCATCTGGTAGGGCGTGTTATCAGTGTGGTTTACAAGGACACTTTAAAAAAGATTGTCCAATGAGAAAGAAGCTGCCCCCTTGTCCATGTCCGCTATGCCAAGGCAATCGAACCTTTGTCTTCTGGGGCAGCGCACCTTCCAGATGATCCAACAACAGGACTGAGGGGTCCCGGGGCAAGTGTCAGCTCATGTCATCACCCTCACTGAGCCCCGGGTATGTTTAACCATTGAGGGCCAGGAAATTTACTTCCTCTTGGACACTGGCGTGGCTTTCTCAGTGTTAAGCTTCTGTCCTGGACAACTGTCCTCAAGGTCCGTTACCATTCAAGGAATCCTGGGACAGCCTGTAAGCAGGTATTTCTCCAACCTCCTCAGCTGTAATTGGGAGACTTTGCTCTTTTCACATGCATTTTTTGTTATGCCTTAAAGTCCCAGACCCTTATTAGGGGGGAATATATTAGCCAAAGCTGGAGCTATTATCTACATGAATATGGGGAACAAGTTACCCATTTGTTGTCCCCTACTTGAGGAAGGAATCAATCCTGAAGTCTGGGCATTGGAAGGACAATTTGGAAGGACAAAAAATGCCCACCCAGTCCAAATCAGGCTAAAAGACCCCACCACTTTTCCTTATCAAAGGCAATACCCTTAAGGCCTGAAGCTCATAAAGGATTACAGGATATTGTTAAACATTTAAAAGCTCAAGGCTTAGTAAGGAAATGCAGCAGTCCCTGCAACACCCCAATTCTAGGAGTACAAAAACCGAATGGTCAGTGGAGACAAGTGCAAGATCTTAGACTCATCAATGAGGCAGTAATTCTTCTATATCCAGTTGTACCCAACCCCTATACCCTGCTCTCTCAAATACCAGAGGAAGCAGAATGGTTCACAGTTCTGGACCTCAAGGATACCTTCTTCTGTATTCCCCTGCACTCTGACTCCCAGTTTCTCTTTGCCTTTGAGGATCCCACAGAACACATGTCCCAACTTACATCAACAGTCTTGCCCCAAGGGTTTAGGGATAGCCCTCATCTGTTTGGTCAGGCACTGGCCCAAGATCTAGGCCACTTCTCAAGTCCAGGCACTCTGGTCCTTCAGTATGTGGATGATTTACTTTTGGCTACCAGTTCAGAAGCCTCATGCCAGCAGGCTACTCTAGATCTCTTGAACTTTCTAGCTAACCAAGGGTACAAGGTGTCGAGGTCGAAGGCCCAGCTTTGCCCACAGCAGGTCAAATATCTAGGCCTAATCTTAGCCAGAGGGACCAGGGCCCCCAGCAAGGAATGAATAGAACCTATACTGGCTTATCCTCACCCTAAGACATTAAAAACAGTTGCGAGGGTTCCTTGGAATCACCGGCTTTTGCCAACTATGGATCCCTGGATACAGTGAGATAGCCGGGCCGCTCTGTACTCAAATCAAGGAAACCCAGAGGGCAAATATTCATCTAGTAGAATGGGAACCAGAGGCAGAAACAACCTTCAAAACCTTAAAGCAGGCCCTAGTACAAGCTCCAGCTTTAAGCCTCCAACAGGACAAAACTTCTCTTTATATGTCACATAGAGAGTATGGATAGCTCTTGGAGTCCTTACTCTGACTCATGGGACAATCCCACAACCAGTGCCATACCTAAGTAAGAAAATTGATGTAGTAGCAAAAGGCTGGCCTCACTGTTTATGGGTAGTTGCGGCGGTGGCCGTCTTAGTGTCAGAGGCTATCAAGGTAATACAAGGAAAGGTTCTCACTGTCTGGACTACGCATGATGTGAATGGCATACTAGGTGCCAAAGGAAGTTTATGGCTATCAGACAACTGCCTACTTAGATACCAGGTGCTATTCCTTGAGGGACCGGTGTTTCAAATATGTACGTGCGTGGCCCTCAACCCTGCCACTTCTATCCCAGAGGATGGCGAACCAATTGAGCATGACTGCCAACAAATTATAGTCCAGACTTATGCCGCCCAAGATGACCTCTTAGAAGTCCCCTTAGCTAATCCTGACCTTAACCTATGTACTGACAGAAGTTCATTTGTGGAGAATGGAATATGAAGGGCAGGTTATGCCATAGGTAGTGATGTAACTGTACTTGAAAGTAAGCCTCTTCCCCCAGGGACCAGCGCCCAGTTAGCAGAACTAATGGCACTTATCCGAGCCTTAGAACTGGGAAAAGGAAAAAGAATAAATGTGTATACAAATAGCAAGTATGCATATCTAATCGTACATGCCCATGCTGCAATATGGAAAGAAAGGGAGTTCTTAACCTCTGGGGGAACCCCCATTAAATACCACAAGCAAATTATGGAGTTACTGCACGCAGTGCAAAAACCCAAGGTGGTGGCAGTCTTACAGTGCAAAAGCCATCAAAAGGGGAAGGAGAGGGGAGAGCAGCAGCATAAGTGGCTGGCTGAGGCAGGGAAAGACCAGAAGAAAGGAGAGAGGAAGGGACAGAGACAGAAAGTCAAAGAGAGAGGAAGGAACAGACAAAGTCAAAGAGAGAAAGAGACAGAGACAAAGAGGGAGTCAGAAAGAGAGAGTCAAAGAAGTCAAAGAGAGAGAGAGATAGAAGTAGTAAAAAAACAGTATACCCTATTCCTTTGAAAGCCAGGGTAGATTTAAATCCTATAATTGAGGATTGAAGGTCTTCTCTGTGGCCCTATAACACTCCAATGCCACCTTGTTGTCAGTGTAAACAGGGGTGTAGCCCAAAAGCACTGAGGCCACTGATAACCCATAGCCTTCCTATCAAAAATCCTTAACCCAGAAGGTTTCCTAACAGGGGATCTAAATCTTAATTAATTGCCATACAAAGATCTGACCAGACATAGAAGGAACTCCCTTCAGGACAGGATGATAGATGGTTCCCCCCAGGTGATTAAGGAAAAAAGACACAATGGGTATTCAGTATGTGATAAGGAAACTCTTATAGAAGCAGAATTAGGAAAATTGCCTAATAATTGGTCTGCTCAAACGTGTGAGTTGTTTGCACTCAGCCAAATCTTAAAGTACTTACAGAATCAGGAAGGAGACATCTATACCAATTCTAAGTTAATATGGACTGAATGAGGTCTGATTAATAGCAAAGAAAAATTAAAATCCCAAACTTACAAGGTTTTCAACTAAAGCAAAGTTTGTTAAAAGTTAACAGTGTAACATGCATTATCCTACTACCACACACTCTCAAAGGATTTCTCAGACAGTTTGTAAGAAATAACAAAATCTATCCTTACTCTACAATCCCAAATAGACTCTTTGGCAGCAGTGACTCTCCAAAACCACCAAGGCCTAGACCTCCTCACTGTTGAGAAAGGAGGACTCTACACCTTCTTAGGGGAAGAGTGTTGTTTTTACACTAACCAGTCAGGGATAGTACAAGATGCTGCCTGACATTTACAGGAAAAGGCTTCTGAAATTAGACAACACCTTTCAAACTCTTATACCAACCTCTGGAGTTGGGCAACATGGCTTCTCCCCTTTCTAGGTCTCGCGGCAGCCATCTTGCTGTTACTTGCCTTTCGGCCCTGAATTTTTAACCTTCTTGTGGAGGTACCACTAGAATCGAGGCCATCAAGCTACAGATGGTCTTACAAATGGAACCCCAAATGACCTCAACTAACAACTTCTACCGAGGACTCCTGGACTGACCCACTGGTCCTTCCACTGGCCTAAAGAGTTCCCCTCTGGAGGACACTACAACTGCAGGGCCCCTTCTTTGCCCCTATCCAGCAGGAAGTAGCTAGAGCGGTCATCAGCCAAATTCTCAACAGCAGTTGGGGTGTCCTGCTTAGATGGGGGATTGAGAGGTGACAACGTGCTAGCAGCCCTCGCTCACTCTTGGTGCTTCCTCGGCCTCAGTGTCTGCTCTGTCTGTGCTTGAGGAGCCCTTCAGCCTGCCGCTGTGCTGTGGGGGCCCCTCTCTGGGGATGGCTGAGGCTGGAGCCGGCTCCCTCTGCTCCAGGGGAGGCATGGAGGGAAAGGCGCAGGCAGGAGCCAGGGCTGTGCACGGTACTGGTGAGCCAATGTGGGTTCTGGGTGGGCATGGGCTCAGTGGGCCCTGCACTCAGCATGGCTGGCCAGCGCCTGCACGGCTTGATCAGGGGACGAGCTCCCTCTGGGCTGCTGGAGTGCCTGGGCTAGGTGCCGCAAAGTCCCGCAGCGAGTGCCAGTGAGAGGTGAAGCTGGCTGGGCTTCTGGGACAGGTGGGGACTTGGAGAACTTTTCTGTCTAGCTAAAGGATTGTAAATGCACCAATCAGCACTCTGTGTCTAGCTAAAGGTTTGTAAATGCACCAATCAGCACTCTGTGTCTAGCTAAATAACTGTAAACGCACCAATCAGCACTCTGTGTCTAGCTAAATAATTGTAAACACACCAGTCAGCACTCTCTGGCTAGCAAAAGGATTTTAAATGCACCAATCAGCAATCTGTGTCTAGCTAGAGGTTTGTAAACGCACCAGTCAGCACTCTGTGTCTAGCTAAAGGCTTGTTAATGCACCAATCAGCGCTCTGTGTCTAGCTAATCTGGTGGGGACTTGGAGAACTTTTCTGTCTAGCTAAAGGATTGTAAATGCACCAATCAGCACTCTGTGTCTAGCTAAAGGTTTGTAAATGCACCAATCAGCGCTCTGTCAAAATGGACCCATCGGCTCTCTGTAAAACGGACAAATCAGCTCTCTGTAAAATGGACCAATCAGCTCTCTGTAAAATGGACCAATCAGCAGGATGTGGGTGGGGCCAGATAAGGGGATAAAAGCAGGCCACCCGAGCCAGCAGCAGCAACCCACTTGGGTCCCCTTCCACTCTGTGGAAGCTTTGTTTTTTTGCTCTTCACAATAAATCTTGCTGCTGCTCACTCTGGGTCCGCACTGCCTTTATGAGCTACAGCACTCACCACGAAGGTCTGCAGCTTCACTCCTGAAGTCAGCAAGATCATGAACCCACGAGAAGGAAGAAACTCTGGACACATCTGAACATCTGAAGAAACAAACTCCGGACACACCATCTTTAAGAACTGTAACACTCACTGTGAGGGTCTGCGACTTCATTCCTGAAGTCAGTGAGACCAAGAATCCACCAATTCCGGACAGATTACTATATGGCAGAAATTACATTTAGCTCCATTCTTTGCACCATTAGATTAATAATTTCTATTTATTCAATTCTGAATCAAAGATTAAATGATGATTCAAATTTAGACCTCCAAAAACAGCCCAAACAATTAACAACAAACAAAATCTACTTCAAAACAAACCCCCAAAAAAGAGTGCCCCAAATATATATATATATAAAATATATATATAATATATATAAATGAAAAAAGAAAAAAGAAAAAGAAAAGGTTATAGCATACTTTGATCTTTTATATATATATCAATATGTCTGTAATTTGAATGCGAGAAAATCACTTTTTTACCTGACCTGGAAGATAGTACATATAAGGGAAAGTATTATGTTTTTAAGTTTATTAAGCTTCAAAAAATACTATGTATAAATCTGAAAGGCATTTACCACATTGAAGATATTTGAAAAAGACAAAGAATTAATTGCACCAAACAAGAGGCCTAGCAAATGAAGAAAACTTGACTAAATATGAAAGTGGGTAATTTATATTAAAATAAACACAATTGTGGGTAATAATATAAATACATACCAATCTAACTAATAATTAACCAATTAGTCAATTAAAGACATTAAAACATTTGTTTAAAAAATCTGATATTTGGACATTAACAAAATATTAACAACACTTGATTATGACAGAGTTTGATTAATAAAAGCATATCATTTCCAGAAGTGATAGCAATCTATAAGGCCTACTATAACCACTTGGAACAAATTAATAATATATATCAAAATATAAAATATTCATAATCAATGGAGCATTTTTATATTTAAATATTGTCATATGGAAGTACTTACAATAATTACAAAAACTTCACTCCATATTGTTGGTAATAGCAAAAATAAAGGAAGCAAATGATAGTCAATCAACAATTTTACCATTAATTTTGGTGTTTTCAATGAACTGCTTTTTAATATTTAAAGTCATAGATTTATATGTACTTTAAGATAAAATTTACCACAGAGTAGGAAATAAAACACAAAGCCAATAGCAAGGTATTATCCTTAATATAGTGTAACAGAAAATAATATTTGCTCATATATAAATAAGAAATCTGAAAATACAGATAAAAGACAACAGTAATTGTGAAAAATCCAGGAATATATCATGCAATAAATAATTGTGGTTATTTTGTGACTTCTAAGATTATAGCAGCCTGGTGCAGTGGCTCTTATCTGTAATCCCAGCACTTTGGGAGGCCGAGGGCAGATCACTTGAGTCCAGGAGTTTGAGACCAGCCGGAACAACATGGTGAAACTACAGCTCCACAAAAGATATAAAAATCAGCCCGGCATTGTGTCATGTGCCTGTAGTCCCAGGTACTCAGGATGCTGAAGCAGAAAGATCACTTGAGCCTGGGAGGTGGAGGTTACACTGAGCCAAGATTGCACCATTGCCCTCTAGCCTGGGCAACAGAGTGAGACCCTGCCTCAAAAAAAAAAAAAAAAAAAGAAAAAGAAAAATGAAAAAAGAAAAAAGAAAAAGAAAAGAAAAGGTTATGGCATACTTTGATCTTTTATATTATATAGTGTATGTATGCACTATAATTTTTAAAAGTATAATTAGCATGTACCATTTTTAATAATCAGAAATAAATTACACAGTTAACCAGAAACAGGAAGTAAAGGGGACTGGAGCCCATTACTCAATGCCAAATTTATAATAAATAAACAACATACTTTCTTTTTACAGAAAGAACAGATGCCTTAGTGTTACAGTTGGAGATACTTAATTATATAGTGAGTATTTGCAATTTTCCCAAAATTATAGGCTCCTTGAGAGTCGGGATAGAAAAAACCTTAGTATATGTACACCAAAGCGTCAAGTCCAGTATTTGATTCACATAGGCAGCAAATTAATCCATTACAGAACATGTGAATGAAATTTAATTTGGAAGATTCAATAAATATTCAATAATTATATTTTACCTGGCATTCTTATCAAATAATTCACAACTTTCAAAAATCATCAACATTAAATATGTATTAAAAAAACAAGACTCCCCCATTCTGTTTCACAACCATGCTCCCAAAAGCAATGATTTTAGTCATTTCATATTTGTTTTGTATTTACCTCTACTTTAAATAATATGCTTTCATAAAAATGTTTTATCAATTTTAGAAATCGTATGGATGTTACCATTTGATTGATAAAGATTTAGCTTACACTGTTCCTAAATTTCCTTATATCATCGTCCCAATATATGTGTGTATGATGTTTGTGTGTGTGTGTGGTATGTGCTGTGTGTGTGGTATGTGGGGTGTGTGTGCACGTGTGTGTATTCTGTAGCTGGGATTTAGTAGGAATAACGTAGCCAGTTAATGTACTAAAATTTTGTTTGTTTGTATGTTTGTCTGTTTTCAACAGCTTGATGTATCTGGTGGTAATAAACTGCTTTGGATTTTCATTTACTTAGAATTCTATGTTCTTATATTGGATTTTCATTTACTTAGAATTCTATGTTCTTATATTGATCTCTTCCATGTAGTGAATCAGATCTATAATATAACAAAACATATAATCTCTAATTTTTTCTTTATTTAAAATTATTTGAATGCTCACTATTCCCAAGTGATTATGTTTATTTTTTCCTCCAAGAGATTTTCCTCATGATGCACTTTGTCCTACTGTTTCAAAATGGACTATGTAATTGCTTTTGAGTCGTCCTATACATTACATTATCTAAAATTTCTCTGTTTATTTTACTGGGCTTAATCCCCATTTTCCTATATTCAATTTTATCATCTTTTGTTGGTTCTGTCCTTCTTTTGCTGGCAGAGAGCCTTCAGCATTTCCCTAAAGATGAGTGACCAGAATATAAATATATTTAATCCTCATCTATCTGAAAATACCTTTATGCTACTCTTACTTTTAAAAATTACATGATTGAGTAGAATATTTTAGTTTGAAAATTACATTTTGTTAGTATTTGCAGGGCATTACTCCATTACCTGCCAGATGCTCATTTAGTTTATTGTACATTTTTTCTGTAATAGTTTAGGATATTTTTCTTATTTCAGTTGTTTTAACATTTTATTATGCTATGCCTTAGCTTTGGTTTTTCCTTCGTTCTTTCCTTCCTTCCTTCCTTCTTTCCAGGTGTTTTTGGAGCTGGCAATAGGTAAATGCTTAAGATAGAGAGATTATTTCCCTAAATCAAGACATTTTGAAATTACTTTTGTTAGTATTTTCCCTCCAGTTTACTCTTTTCTGTCAGTACCCCTACAGTCAGATTGGTAGATGAAGTCTACAGAACATACAGCATGGAAAGGCTTCCTCAAATATGGGCTTTACATCTTATTGTGGTGAATTCAAAGTGAATTATTTATTGTCAAGGGTCCAAAACCTGATGGTTGCCTACATTCAGAGCTCAGATGGACTCCCTTGGGCCACAGCCACTGCCAGTCTCCACAAAGCTGACACAATTGGTTCTTTAAATGCTCCACAGGCCCTACAACTTCCAGTTCTTGGGCTGGCCCTGAAACTTATCTCAGGATGAGTTCTGACTTTGGCTGTTACATGAACCTAATGACCAATCCCCTTTCCTTTTTTTTCTTTCCCCCTTCTATGGTACTTCTATCTCAATCTTTATGCCCAAGATTTCAAAAGCTTCATATTGCTCCCTTTTTCCAACAATAGAGATTGATTTCTCATCAGAAAAAAAAAAGTCCCAAACTTATAAGGATAAAAGCTTCCTGACATTAGTATATGTGGCCTTCACAGCTATGTTACTCTTCTCCAGCTATAATGTTGAGCGCAGCAAAGATTCTTCCCCTCCTCCCTGCTTAAAAATGATGTGTGTGTATGTGCGTGTGTGTGTGTGTGTGTGTGTGCGTGTGTGTGATTGTTTTCAGTCTTTCCCCAGCTGTAATGGGTTTTCATTAGTGCCCTAAGGGCAAGAATTTTTGTTGCCCTTCTCCCTGAATATTATGGCTTTTTTTTTTTTTTTTCAACAACAGAGGTGACAGAGTTGAGTCTAGAAGCTGCTACCCTTTCTATCTAGGCCAGCACCAGGAGGAAAACTTTCTTAAGCTTCTCCCTAACCATAATTCTTACAAGATAACTTTTTTTGTATTATGTTTTTCTTTACCTTAAAAAATGTTTGTTCATACATTGATATGAGGGAAATCAGAATATTCATGAGCTTCACAATTTGAGGTTTTCATCAGCCCTCCTATGGGCATTTTATTTTGCTTATGAGAAAATTAAAATTATATTGAACTATGATCAATTTGTACAATAAGAGATGTACCCAAACATTGTGAAATCTGTCCTCTTCTCAGCAAAAAATTTATTCCAGCATTTTATTCCATTAGTATAACAGCTTACATAACTTAGATCTATTCAGAGTGTGGAAGTAAACCATTGTTTGCATCATCATTGGCATTTCTATGAGCAGTTATAATCTAAGAGCTTATTTGCTTCCAAAAATCATTTTCCTTATTTTAATTCACAGTTTCATGCCTTTGGTGCCTATTGTAAAATATCCCTTCATATTTTCTCTTCTCATGAAATAGCTTCCATTAACTACAAGTATATACTTAAACTGCAATTATTTTTTATTCATATCTTTGAGAAACTCAAGTTAAATATAATTATAATTTGTAATTATATTTCCTCTTCTGCGTGATTATCATATACCCTCAGGACTTGTTGATCTGTCCTAGTCCATCTGGCATATTGGATGTCTCATCATATATTAAATAATACTAACCTCATCAAAATACATTAGCATAATGTTACAATATCTGATACTATGAATCACAAGAAATTTTTCAGTGATTGTTTTTAATAGTAGACATGAATGTAATTTAATTATGTGAATGCCCATCAGTAACAAAAATTAAACTTGATTAAATATGATGCATGAACTATTCTACAATATTAAATATTTTAGATTTATGCCAAAATATGGTGTTTACTATCCTGGATGAATACACATTTGAGAGAACTGAGTTCTGGAAAAAAAAATGCAATTATTAATAAACGATTTTAAGTGGAAGATATTTCACCTAAGTTCTAAATTACTTGCTAAAATCTGAAAGCCAACAAATTTTAACTGCTGTTTTTATTTGCAATTCCCAGCTAAGGTATGTAGCAATTATAAGAAGTTACAGGCTTTAGCACCACATCTTTATTTATAAAATAAGTGTTTTCCTTTACTGTTGAAAATTTGATCAGCTGCTATAAAAGCAACTAGAAGTACTGTGGCAGGCCAGGCCTCAGTAACACAGGCCTCCATAACAACTGTTTCAGCACTGACTGAATGGTAAAGTTAAATATTAAATCTCAAAGAGTCAGTGCCCTTTTACAAAGGCTGGAACGGAACAAAAGCCCACCAAGAGTTTTGCCTAGGCCTTGCCTGGAACTTGAAGCATGACAAGATAATGAAGGAATTCTTAACAGGACCTGTTTAGGATTAAACAAGTTTAATTGGGGGTCTGTAGAAACTCCCCAAGCCTCCACAAACAAGCTTATTGAGGATCTAAACAAATCACCCCAGCACCTAGACCCATTTAGATTAAGTGAATTTACTGAGGCTCCAGAGGAAGGTCTTCAGGACTCAGATCTTAATTTTAGATTAGAAGGAGTTAATTACTTATGTCTTTAGATGAATTCACAGTCAACACATAGACATATAGCTTAGAAAGTATATAAATTCTGGAAAACTTTGTAATTTTGAGTTGGTCTGGTGATAATTTCCAGGCTTTCTCCCTGTAACCGGTTACAGAAATAAATTCCCTTTTCTCCCATTTCATGTGCATCTCATTATTGGGCCACAAGAATAAGCAGCCTGACCCTCAGTTTTTTTCCAGGAACAGTACTGGAAATGATGCTATTTGTTATTATTTGAAAAGACATTTTCTCTTGTTGTCAGTAGATCACTTCTTTTCACTCTACACTTTGTATATCTGATATGTAATAAACTTATTAAAAATACTTCTGGAAAATTATATACATGCAGACACCCACACAGAGTAATAAATGACAAAAAATGTGAATAGTACTTTGAGAACTATATAAATAATGTAGGTATATATTCAATGAATGCTTTTTCGTTGTCTTTTTATCATGTAAAATATGCCATGCTGGACAGTAAGAATAAAAAGATGATAATTGGTAGGGTCTTCCTTTTAAGAATTTCAGAGTTCAATGGGACAATTATCAATTTCTCTGAGAGATAACTGTGAAATATCAAAAAAATTGAACTCAGAAAAAAAAAGTTGTTTTTGCTATTGTTATTTATATTTTTCATCAGAATTTGGAATACTATATGTCTCTCTCCCCTTCTACATATAAAAAATAGATAACAAAAATGGAATTTTTGTGTAAATTAGGCATAATAAACTGGAGCAAAAAAACACAAAGTCTCCAACACAGTCCAACTCCCTCTCAAAGTAACTGAAATGTCCTGAATCTTTAATTCATCTCTAGGAAGGATGGGTTTATAAAACCAGAGAGGGATGGTGTACTATAAAACCAGAATTTAAAAGTTGGCATAAATAAGAGCTATCCCAGATTTATCAGGGAAGAAGACATCCTAGCCACTTAATGATAAGAATCTCAGTTCCATTGAAATGACTCTGATCATTCCTAATATGTAATTTGATACTTCAGGCAATTTGTGACTTATTTCATAACAAACTGAATCTATCCAATCTGCTTTGTTCATATTACTTGCTTTGTTCATTATCACAACTAAGCAATGAGAACTTCACCATGAGAATGTGGCTTCATCTATTATTGGACTAAATATCAATATTCATTATCACTTTATCAATTAATATAGGTAAAGCAAAAGTCACTGAACTCTTAGGAGTAGACCAAAAAATGTGTGCTGAGTGATGACTTCCCTTGATTTCATACCTTGCCTAAGTCCTAATTTTAGAGAGTTATGTATAAACTGGAGGGTTACATATGAACAGCTCAACATGGGAGACATCGACAACATCATAGGCATATAGATAGCTATAAGAAGATAATCTGGACCAAACTAAGACAGACATAATACCCTACCCATCCTACATATTGAAAGCTCATGTTATATTTGAGATATTTCATATAGAGGGGTCTTACTGGGGGAAGCAAGGTTATCAATTTTGAAATTTAAAGAAAATGTTCGTAGCTTTGGCTGTACTCAGCATATAACCATCACCTCACTAAACACACATTGGGAATTCTCAAACCTTAGAATTCTCAGATACTGAGTGTTTGCAGGGTAGGGATGGGTAGTATTTGTTGATTTTGTCTTCTTGAAATGAATTGTCATTACCCACATGCATTCTCCTTGCTATTTATGTGTCATGTTGTTCTTCCACTCAGCGATGGTGACTAGATTGAGTCATCTATGTTTGCCTAAATTTCCATCAATATAATCACCACTCTACCATTCCACCGTTGCCTTATTTGTCCTTTTAATGGGAAGGTTCTGACCTCATATTTATCTTCTGGATCTTTCTGGGTTCCCTGCTTGAAGTTTCTCCTATGCCCTACCGGTCTTTGGAAAGTAAATATCACAGAAAAATAGCTGAGCCACTTATCACAATCATTACGTCGAAAGAATACTGGTTCTAGGATAAAAATATATTGTCCCAAACCACTGATTTTGTTACTTAGAAGCTATAGGAACTGACACCAACTAAGCTCCTGAGTTGTCATTTCTTCCCTAGTAAAATGGGATAGATCATATATTATTCCAAATAATCTTCCACGTTAATGTGTCACCACAAACACACTTCTATTATTTGCAAGTATAAAACAGTTGTTCAGTCACAGAAACCAAATCAGTAAATGGTAAATTGATACCAAGATACCTAAAAGTAATTTTTAAATTGCATCTTCAAAAAGTTTTTCTTTACCTTTGGCTGTTTAGCATAAGGTTGGAAATACTCTTATATATTTTACTTACTTTTTTATAAGTCAAGATTACTTAGAGTTATGTATTTATTTATTTACATTCTAGTTACCTCCAAAAAGAAAATGAACGGGTGCACCATAAAAATGTAATACAATAAGATTAGATACTATTAATAAAAGATGCAAGATAATTTGTAAATGGGAAGAAAAGAATATATCAGGATATTTGATAGTTGAATTTTACAACAATCAAACACGAATAATCTCTAAGTTGTATACCAGTGGGATGTTATTCTGAAGAGCTCAGCTTTATTTTTGCAATGCTTATGAATAGCTATTTAGCGAAAGCAAAAGAAAATCTCATTTACATATTAGTCATTTATACTTAATTCACTGCGATCTCAGTTACATATAGTAAGATGCTCAGTTTCCAAGACAGAGGAAACCATGAAGTTGCTAGCAGTTTGCATACAGTGAAGCCTCAGGAGAGGTTATAGTGTGCAACGTTTAAGGCATGGGTTTTGTAGCCAGACTGCAAGGTTGGAAATCTGACTCTGCCCCCTCATCACCTGCACAGACTTGGGCAGTTATTAATATCTCTATGCCTGTTTCCTTACTTGTAAAGATCCTAGGAAAGTCTACCTCACAGTGTTGTTTTGAAGAATAAATGAGTTAACACACATTGAATAGAGTAGTATCTGTTCTTAGTCATTGTTTGGTATCAGTTTTTAAAAATCAAGTAATACTGCTATAGAATAGATTTCTCTTAGAAAAGTCCTTAATTTAGGTACCTCAGTAAAAACAAATGTATTTTGATTGTCCATCCAATGTCCTGACACTTGACCACACTCCCCCAAATTTGAATTTAGCTGGCGTAAATTTACATAGGATTATCACTGTTTTTTAAAGCTGGGGTATAGTCTGTGTGACTGTCCTTCATTGGATGTCTCAGATGGGTGAGGGAACAACAAAAACTGAGAGAAGAGCGTCTTTCTACTTTTCATCTTTAGCAGTGGAAACCTATATTTATTACTTTGGACCAAGTGAGCAAATATTAGAGATCATTGGGAATATCTGGTAAAAATAATCTTGAAATGATAGTTCTCAAAATAGTGTTATTTAAATGACACGAGGCCTTATTTTATATTTCAAAATAAGGTGGAGGAGATATCAGATGCTGATATTGTGGTGTAGGACATATCAGATACTATATTGCTTTGTGTGGAATTCAAAAATAACATTTTTGGTTCAGTTAACAGAAAATCTCTTTTCTTTGGTTATAGATATAGAACCAGTGCTTCTGCATATCTATGCAATATCACCAGCACTTTATCTTTTTTATTTAGAAACGCTAAATAATAACAACCAAGTTATCATTTTCACGTGTATAAGTACTTGAGTTTCTTTTTGCTAAAAGTTAAGTTTATGTTGTAACAATAGCTTTAACCGAATAGCTAGGATTATTTACTTTTTATGCTTATGAAGGTTTTCAATTGTATAATCCATAAAATTATCACAAGTCAGAAACAATCCCTTGGGTATAAATCACAAACTGAAATATCTCTTCCTCAGAAGTTAAAAATTCCATCTTCAGAAAGATTTTCTTTACTTCTGGCTGCTTGTCATAAAGCAGGAAATGCTCCAGAGGTTATTGAAGAGATAAACATGTTCCAGGCCACTCAGTAGACTTATATGTAAACAATAACTTTAACTGGAGATACTTGAGGTCAATGGGATCCATAATCCCATGCTAGGTGATTAAGGGCCTTTTAAAATAAGAACTTCTGATGGATGCTATTCATATATTACTTGCAATGTTCCCCGACAAGACATTGCTGCCAAAATAGCCTAGTGAGCCTCCTTCCATGGGTGGCTCCCCTCTGGAGCACGTTAACTATTACTCAGAAAATTCTCTAGTACTCAATGTATATGTGGAATTACTTTCGAATTCAGGATTTTGGGGGAATAATTCTGACTTAAAAAAAAATGTTCTCTCAGATATCTCTGATTCCTGTTTGATTTTGAAAATATGAACAACAAAACAGATTCTACCCTTAATAATCTCAGGTCATACCCCTTCCAGGGACAATTATCTAAGTTCCAATATAAGCCATGTAATTAGTTAAGGGCTTTGTATATTGTTATCTTTTTAAACTATAAAAATAAATAAATATGTAACATTTTATAACATTATACAATGTTACATATATGTGTTAAAAATCACACATACTGACCACAATAACTTGATTTCTCCAAGAATATCTTGTATTGATTTGAAAATAGAAATACATTTCCAATCTTCAGCAATACTTACCTTGATGGAAAATAACAAAATAATAATAATATAGTAATAATAATATTTTCTAGTTAATAATGGTGAGTCTCCTAGGTTAAGAATAGAAAATTTAGTAAAACTGGATACATGATTATATCAAATTTACTTCTATATAATTTAAGGGCTTAAACATTTATTCAATTTCAAAGGACTTTTGGAATATAAAAGATGCACTAACTGGATTCTTTTCTCTTATAAAATGAGCAGGCTTAATTAAGAATCAAATGACAAAGCTATGTTACACAGGTTTTTACTAAAGGAAAAGGAGTAATTGCTACAATTGGCAAAGAAAGAAGTCTCTCATAGGTAGATATTGCATAATATCTACACGTATTGAAAATCTAACCACCAGAAAAAAATTACTTTAAAGTGTAAAATGTAACTTATATTCTAATGTGGATCTTCATAGAAAAAGAAATATAAAGCACAAATATAGACTGCATAAAATTGGTCTTTTTAATATCTTTTAATATTGTGCTTACAATTTATGGTCAATTAAGTTTTGGTTAAGTCTTCAATTCTTCAGAGAACACTCAAACTAGTAAAACAAATTGTTTAATTTTCTCTGATTTTTCTAGTTATTTCTATGAGGATTCTCATCTATCAGTTTTGTAATCTTATATAAATAACGTTGGTGTAGTAAATTATTAGAAAAAATTATGAGATGTATAATGTATATTAAATTTGTTTAAATTCGACCCAAACTATTATGCATTTTAAAATTTTCTCTCATTAAGTTCCTCAGTGATGTTTTGACATTTTATTACTTAAGTAATATCGTTAATTTTTTTTTTTTTTTTTTTTTTTTGAGACGGAGTCTCGCTGTGTCACCCAGGCTGGACTGCAGTGGCACAATCTCGGCTCACTGCAAGCTCCCCTCCCAGGTTCATGCCATTCTCCTGCCTCAGCCTCATGAGTAGCTGGGACTACAGGTGCCCGCCACCACGCCTAGCTAATTTTTAACATCATTGATTTTTATCTTAAATTCCCCCAATATTTTAAACCTACTGTATCCTCTTTTGTTATCTAATCTGTGTGGCGTTATCACTATCGGGACAAAATTGGTTTCTGCATTCTCTTAGGGGCAGGCAGTGAGTGAAGTCTATTGATGTCAATTTTGTTTCTTCTAGTTCATGGTTTTCTTCTACCTTGATTAGTTGACAAGCTTTGAAAGACTGAATTACTGTTTGTACCAAAACAATAATATCAAACAGAGTGTCCCTCCTATGTGTATTAATTACAAAAAATACATTAAAATGACTGAAATAGAGACAAAAAATGATCCTAGGAAATAGGCACTTTCTATATGTGTTTCAATATTTTATTATTTCTGATATTTATAGCTACTGTTAGTTAAAATTATGTGTTAAAATTTAGAACATATTGGGAAATTATAAAAAAAGGTAAAATAATTTACATAATTATATTTATAATATATTACATTGGTTAAATGTGTATAGAAATGGAGGTAACATAAGAATTCCCTGTCTCTGTTGAGCAAATATGAAAGAAGAAAAGATTTGTAATCACACATGAAGTAAAAAAAGCAATTCTGAATGTTAATAGTCAGAAAATTTCTAGGATGACAAGTCTTACTGTCTATCTGTGATGTCAGGAGACAGAGCTTCAAAATTCTGAAGTTCACAAGTGCATTCAGGTAGAGGAGTGTGAGGCAGGTCAGGAGGCAGGAGACAGGTATGGCTTTGTTCCGGATTACGCTTTCTCTGTCCTGGAAGTCCCAGAATGAGATCTGATATTAATTTTGACATTGACCCCTGATATGGTTTGGCTCTGTGTCCCTACCCAAATCTCATCTCAATCTGTAATCCCCACATGTTGAGGGAAGGACCTGTTGGGAGGTGATGGGATCATAGGGGTGGTTCCCCCATCCTGTTCTCCCAATAGTGCATGAGTTCTCACAAGAGCTGATGGTTTTAAAAGTATTTGGCACTTCCCTTTTCACTCTCACTCTCTTTTGCCACCACGTAAGACATGCCTTGCTCCCCTGTTGCCGTCTGCCATGATTGTAAGTTTCCTGAGGCCTCTAGTCATGCTGAACTATGAGTCAATTAAACCTTTTTTCTTTATAAATTAACCAGTCTCAGGTAGTATCTTTATGGCAGTGTGAAAATAGACTAATACAAGCACTGTTAAGTACATTTTTAAAAACTAATATATCTGGTTAAAGTTGGTTGAACAGAATCAGGCTAATAAAATCTCATGTGATGCCATTTATGCTTTTGTCCTTCAAGGGCCTTATAAGTCTACAAAGATCCATCCAGAGAAGTTCATACTCTGGTTAAAAAACTATGCATAATTTTTCAGGCCTGACAATAGGCAATCACAAAGCCTCTTCCTGGCCAGACCCATGGGGAATAACTGTCTTTTCTACCACAGACATAGTACACAGTCCTTGCTTTAAAGTTTCTGGGGGGAGTTGTGGTCAAGGACTCAGGCCTTCCTCATTCGTCATGCTTTTCCCATATTTACATTCCTAAGCTTGGCATATTCCTTCCTCTATCTTTAATCTGTAGCCTTGGACACACGTCTGCTTCAGGCACCTCTGCTGAGACTTCTTTATGGAGAAATGAGAAATCTTGAAGAGTATTTGCCCGACTGTGACTCAGTATGTAATACATGTCTGCTCCTAACTCTTTCCCCATGCCCTCCCCTTGACCTCAAAGTCTGTACATCTGCCTGAGCCTTTTGTTCTGAGTTCCCTCAACGGTGAGACCACCCCCATGACTACACTGATCTACATGACTCTAGCTAAATGTGCTGCTCCGTGGGGGAAAATGGAACAAGGGATGAGTTGGTGCTTCCACTAATTTAAGACTCTTGCTTATACCATCATAGTAAGTAATTAAAGGTTTAACTCTTGCATTTCTGATTTGTTGCTTTATTCAGCTGCTCTGATACCTGACAGTTAAGCTTTCTCTCCTAGCTAAGATGGAAGAGAGACATACCTTTGAAAAAGATGTACATGCTGAAACAAAACATGAAATAAATCACAGGGCCATATCCATTTTTAAATTTCCTAATTCTGACTTAAAAGCAACTGTTCTGCTGTGGTGACAGCAAAAAGTAAAATACAAAAATAAAAGTGAAAGTGTCAGGAGCAAGTTAACATCTGTGTTTTAAAGATAGTGGGAAACCTGGAAAATATAAAGCATTTTATTAGCAATTAATTGCTATCTGTGACTCAGATGACATAATATTGGAGTCACAGGAAACTCTAATCAATGAGACAATCTTACATTTTATCTCTATTCCTCTGCTGTAGCCCTGAGCTCCAGAAGCAAACTATAATTTTTCAAGCATAATGAAGGAAAGTGGAACTAAGTCATAAAAAAGTGTTTAAATTCTCTACTAAGTCTGAATATTCTTTGTAACTATAGAAAATAAATAGTCACATGGTTCTGTAAACTTTTCAATTGGTCCTCAAGAATGCTATGTCATTAGTTTATATGTCATCTTAAGTTTATATCCTATATTTACAAACAAATGTTAAAATAAGCAAAAGAAGCTGTTTAGTACATTTTTCTATTGTCTGTTGACTCCACTGCTATAAGATGTCTTCCCAGTAGACTGATTATTTTTTATGTTCAATATCCAGTCCACTAATTCTTCAGTAGCTATGTTGGTTTCCGAGAAAGTCTCCATTTCTCGGAAATTGGCACAGAATCCAGGTGCTGCTATTATGTCATTCACACTATACTTTTCTGTTTAAATATATTTCTGTTCAAATAAATTTCCATAAGTTCAATTATTCTTCAGTCTCAAGAAGCATTTTCAAAAAAAAAGCTATTTTTATAATCTTAGGTTTGAAATATAACACTTTGGTAGGTTCTTTTTAAAATTCTCTGCTCGCTTCTCATTTAGAAATTTTAGGTCTCTAAGGATATTCTTAATGATGAAAGTATAAAGTACTTTTTTCCTTGGGCTTAAAAAATTGCTATGTGTGTTTTCCAGTGCTGTTATTCTGGAGATATAAATGTCACCTAGAGAGCAGTTCTTCTATGGCTCTATCTCACCCACTTTGTAAGAAAATCAGTTCCTTGAAATTTCTCCTTAATATTTCTGTCAATCTAGAGGAATTGATCTCCAATAATGTCCTCTAAAATGGGACTTCTATTTTAATAGTCTATCACTCCTGTTAAGGATGCAAAGAGCTTTCTAATTGCTACTGATACTAAAAGTAGAAGATATGGTGTCAAGATCCCTTGAAGGCAACAATGAGTTGATGCTGCTGGTTCTGTAATTTGTGACAAATCTGTAGATGCCCAGGGTTTAAGGAAGTGAGTTTCACAGCAGGAGCAGGATGCCCAATGTTGAGGAGCCAAAAGTGTAACTGTAACCATAACCAGTGTTAACTGCTTCTATTGCCAATTCATTGACTACTGTCATGCTGAACCTACTGCCATCTTGATTCCACTGTTCACACTTAGACTAATGCCACTCACATTTTTCACTGGAGTTGTTGCACACACATCTTATTAAAATGCTTCCTTGGGTTTCCCATTTGTTTTTCAGATTTTTACCACAGCAACCCTTTATGCCCTATTTGAGCATAACTATACATGACCAGATCTAGGATATATTGTAAAGATCAGGTATATATAGCTCTTAGAGTAAGTCCAGCCTTTCACTGCTTATGCAATTTTTTTTAAACAAAGTTTTGACCTTTCCTAGAAAAGCCCTTGTAACATATGGAAATAAAGCCCAATCATTCATCCAGATGTTCTGCTTGCTACAAAGAATGCAGTTCTTACTCAACCCGGAAAATTCACTTTACCCATTACACACACCAAACTGTACCGTTTTTCTAACCAGGGTTTTGATCCTGAGACTAATTAGGCCTGTTTTATGGAAAGATGATAAAATTAACCCTTGAAATATTATTTGCTATCATAAACTCCAAAGAGATCATTTTAATATTTCTTTTACAAACCTATTCATGTGTTTAGAATGTTGCATACTTATTACTTACTGTACCCCATACAGGAGAAACCTGTCATGTTAAGGTACAAAACTGGATACATAATTATGTTATCCAATTATCCTCTGTAAAACCAGTGAGTGCTTTACAGAGGATGCAATTTGTTCCTAATGCCTGAAAACAACCTAAGAAAAAATGAGCCACTAATATTATTAAAGAATCAAAATATAAAATAAATATCCTTTATTTTCCATGATGACCTGTATACTTACTTCAGGTTCTCTCTTATTTAGATGGTCTAAACTGGAGACTTACTACTCAAGATGTATGGAACAGCAGCAATGGCATCATCAGGGAGCTTGTTGGAAGTACAGAATCTCAGGTCTTACCCAAACCAATGGAGCCAGAATCTTTTGTTTTGTTTTGTTTTGTTTTGTTTTGTTTTGTTTTTCAAGATGGAGTCTCACTCTGTCACCCAGGCTGGAGTGAAGTGGTGCAATCTCAGCTCACCGCAACCTCCGCCTCCTGGGTTCAAGTGATTCTCCTGCCTCAGCCTCCTGAGTAGCTGCATACCACCACACCCGGCTAATTTTTTGTATTTTTAGTATAGATGGGGTTTCACCATGTTGGTCCGGCTGGTCTGGAACTCCTGAGCTCATGATCCGCCCACCTCGGCCTCCCAAAGTGCTGGGATTACAGGCGTGAGCCACCGTGTCCAGCCCAGAATCTTCATTTAACAAGATCCCTGGAGAGTTTTTTATGCACTTTGAAATTTAAGATTTCAAAAATATAATATAAAATATAAATATAAAATATAATCATTCACTGTTATTTATTATTCCAAGTTTAAATTTTCCTCCTTCAATCAATAAATTTTCAGCTCTGTTTCCAAATATCTTCTACTCCTCACTGTCACTTTCAGTTTTTTGTGTACAACCTAAGTTGGTGAATTTGTTATTAAGTAATACTGGTTATGAATACGATTATTTTAATTTAAATCTTTGGAACCTCATGATGAATTTTTATTTAATATAGCATCACATAGGTAATTTCCTTCCTCATTTCACTATTCATACTTCCAAATTTCCTTCTGTTTCTTAAGTATTTTTTAAAATTATTTTTGTTGAGTGTTATTTACCAGAAGTCTTCAATCCAAGAATTAATCACAACATGATCGATGTAACCTATATCCCATATGTGAGAATCTGTCCACATTGTACTCTGAAACATCTTGGGTTTTAAAGGATTACTTTAATTCACTGGGTCTACAACATTCTCAGGGTTCATAACAATGGATGCACATCAGAATTACCAAAGGAAAGAGATTCCAGTGGCTCAAATATGCCTTCTACACCCAGATGTTTTAATTACATAGAAGTGAGTGGTTTTCTAGGTACAAGGATTTTGAAAAATAAAGAAGAAATCGGCAACAGAGAAAGCAAAAGAGAAGAATCCAGCTAATGCTGAAGTGAAAATCTGTTGAGGACCACTACACTAAATTAGGAACTAAGAAAAGGTCGTTTCTTCCTTTGTAACAAGTGCCCATCTTCACTATAAACAATGTATTCAGCTTTGCCGCAAACTCAGAGTAGCCCTCTCCCTAGATAAGAGTTAAACAGTAACTGTTTCTAGTATCTCAATGACTTCTATTTCTTTGGCTGTGACTGACTTTCAGGCCTTTGGCCTCTCAGTGCTGGATTCTTTTGGCCCAGAAACACATCTTCTGTAACAAAAAAACACCATCCTATCAATCACCGCCTGTCTTATTCACTAGAATTATCTGCTGCTTGTATTTTAACTGATTGCCTATGTTTCCTCTGCTGTGGTGATCATCTTGGCTCTAGATTTAGCTTTAATTTTAGCTAATTACCTTGTATGCCTCCTTTCTCATTTTGTAACATGATTCTTATTTTAATGCTATATTTTTAATTTTTGAAGTCAACCTCTGGTCTTTCTCTTGAAAAACGACCATCAATATGCACCTCTCAAAAACAAGATCTCCCAAACTTCTATTTTCACTTTTCATTATTTTATGGTTACATCCCTTTCTAGTCACTAAACCACAGCTTTGAAAGAGATAAGAGGCATTTCTAGAGATAGCAAGTGAAATGTAGCATTTCAGTATGATAAACTGACTCTAAGAAATAAGATAAAATGAATTATTATGTGTATCACCTTTAAAGATAATTTCATTTTTCTAAGAGAGGAAACAATACTCCCAAATAGTTCAATCAGTGGTAGTTAATAGATTAATTCGTCAAACTCCAACTGATTTCAATTTGTTTTCTCTTTGAATTTGCCATCACCTCTTTATTATTAGTTGAATGACCTGGAAAAGCTCATTATTTCTTTGTGCTACAATTTATCAACTATTATACTGGAAAAAAATAATAAATATTTTATTATTCTCTTTAAAATAAAGGGAACTTTTGAGTATCAATCATAGTTTCCATAATTTTACATTCTATAAAACCATAACACTTTTCAAAACCTCCAGGAACTCATATAGGATTTCTATTTTTTCCAAGTAAACAAAAGCAAACTCCATATCTACCTGTACTATCGTATAACAAAATAAAAACTTTTGGACACCAAGAGAGGGTTAAAACTCAGAATAAAAACAGAATCTTATGAACTTCAAATATATTTAACTTTTTAAAAAACTCTAATTTACATACTTTTTTTCTCATTTTACTTTAGACTTTCGAGTATTTTACCATGAACAAAGCAATATGCATGCAGCACAATATGAGCCATGGAGCAGGTGTTCAAAGACGATTAGTTCTCTTCCCTTTTTAATGTACAATTAGCTAGAAAATTTCAGGAGAAAAATTATTTTACTTTGTAAAAGATTAAAATTTCCCTACTCACTCTTTAGACAAGTGAGATATAAACTCTTATTGCTATTCTTATTACATTTCCTATATCACATAATGAGACTCCAGGGTGAGCCCTTTATTAATATTCATAGTCTCGTCAGATAATTTTTGTTTAAGAAAATGCAATTTATTTTTGAATGTCTATCATATGCATTACAAGGCAAAACAATAAGGGTGGAAATCATGACACCCATGGGGTTTCTAGAAGACTTTGAAATTAGGTTATTACAGTTGAATGAAAATCACTACAAAAACTATATAATGAAATTTTACTATACTTTTAAGATGTTTTCGAGTACAATGTATACAATTCTGCTAAACTGTTTAAACAGAAACACTTTAAATACTTAAAAAAATACTTTCTTTATTTCATCATTAATGCCTATTAGTCTTTCAATTAGAGAATTGTTTTTGTAGCTAGTGTTTTTATTTATAAGAGGTAACCAACTGTTTAATGTTGTAATTCAAAAATACATTCTCATTTTCAACTAATAAACATTGCACATTTCCTAACACACTGTGTTCCCTTGAATAATATTATAATATATTCTCTTTGATGTATTTATGTCCCTGGTTGTCAATTAGCTGAGTAGAAACTGTTGTTATTTGCAGCATCTTTATTTCTATGACTGGAGATTTTCTGGTATGTCATCTGTCAAAGCATCAACAAGAAAATGTAGGAGTTTTTTGAACTATTAAGACTATTTCTCCAAATTACTATTTTATTATATGGTATACATTTAAGTCAAGTTCTTTTCAAGTAATTTTGTTAAGCCATTAAAACATTAAAACTTCACATACAGAAGCAAAACAAAATTTAGAATATCATTTCTTTTGCTATGGTAGAAAAGCATCAAAGATGACTTGTGGAATTTTTTACCTAAGAAACTGAAAGGGAGGTGATACTTTTTACTAAAGGAGGAAATATCGAGGTTTCTGTGTTGGACATATTAATTTTGAAAGTTAGAAATGCCTATTAAATATGCTAATAAATATCAGGGATAGAAAAAGATTTGCACACTATCACCAGGTAAAACCTATTTAGGGCTATGAAATTAGATGAGATCACATAGGCAAGAGGTAAAAATGAAGCTCCCAGCAGCACTCTCATATTTACAGATAAATTAGAAGAAGAAACAAATTAAAGGAACCTGAGGAGCAGCCAGTGAATTTAGAGGGAAACAAAAGCAGAAATATCACAAAAGTAATGGGGGAGACAGCAGCGGGGTTTCCAGGTATGATAGAGTTGTTGTGAAATACCACTAAGAGGTAAAGAAAGTAGTGAGGAAGAAATTAGCATCAAATTAGGTTTGATCCAGATTGCTGGTCACCTTAACACAAACAACCTCTGTGAAACTGAGGAACATGAATCAAAGAAGTATAGGCTTAAAGAAAGCTGAAGGAGATAGCTGTGCATGAAGTAGACAATTTGAGACTTTTGAGAAGCAAACAATACACAGTTTATTTATCTGACCTCTCAAAACTATTCACATAGGATTATAGTTGCAGTTGATGATTTCATTTCATTTGTTAATATAGGAGGTGTCCCAGTTTGTCTAAAGACAATGTCAGACATACCTGAATGTGTTTGGTAAATATTGTTCTAGATTTTGAAAAAGATGATTTCCCAGAATTTATGAACTTTCTTTTGGTTTTCATAACAGAAAAGGAATAAACTGACTTGTGGGTGTATATAAAATGAAAAGCTGCCCATATTTAAAAAATACCTCCGAGAATTTAAATCAAACACCAGAGAATAAAAACACTGTGTGATCGGAGGGACCAAAGACAACATCTCAGAATCTGGTATTAACTGAGGGTATACAAAATGCTACATTTAGAATACAATGTTGATTAGAGTTTCTGGTAGTTGTACTATGTTACTATTTTAAGTGTTCCCTTTAATGTAGGTAAATAAATGTTTCTAGATTTACTTCAATGAGGTAAATGGCTGGAAGCCTTGTAACTAATGTTGAAAATATAGGCAGCTCTTACTGTACCAACATAGCTCCTGCTGACAGATAAAAACCCGTGCTTAATAAAGGCAAAACAAATTTAATCTAGACTTGACCAAAACAAACTTCATCTTCTATTGTTTAAACATCTCTCATAACTACATATTTATACACATTGATTAAAATGTAGTATTTCTGCTGAGTGTGGTGGCTCATGGCTTTAATCCCAGGACTTTAGGTGGAGACCGAGATGGGAAGACTGTTTGAGCCCAGGAGTTCAAGAACAGCCTGGGCAACATGGTGAGATGCTGTCATTACAAAATAAAATGAAAATGGCCAAGCATGGTGGTGCATGCTTGTAGACCCAACTACTTGGGAGGATAGAGAGGGAGGACCACATTAGCCCATGAGTTTGAGTCTACAATGAGCCATATTCATGCCATTGCACTACATCTTGGTTGACAGAGTAAGGTTCTGTCTCAAAACAACAAAAAAAGAAACATTTCTCTGTAACAACCAATAAATTGCACTTTTCTTATTCTTAACTATCAATCATATCAATCTGGAAACAGTTTTAAAACTAAAAAATAATAATCATGGCTTCTTAGTGTTCTAGTACTTAGTTGATGAAGACTACCATAGTCCCCCTCTGGAAATTTTTGGTATTAATATATCCACTTGTAAAACTAATAATAAAACTTATACCTGCATATTAATTGGTAATCTTCAAGGAGCTTCAAACAAGTAGCAAAGTATGTTATCACAAGAACTTTATAGGCTAATAGAAAAAAAAGTATTCCATTTTGCAGGTGAGAAAATTAAGAAACAGAGAGATTAAGGAAATTTGCCAAAGTGACATAATATGATACGTTCAGGAAAAGATCTGTGGTTACCTATTTCCTTCTCAGAATTCTCCCCATTAACCCAGACAATAGTTTTATATTTAGTCACTATAGTGTGAATAGAAAATATATTTTCTGAGAGTGATTTTAACCTTTAGTTCTATAATTTCCTTCGTATGTGTATCTGTCGTATATGTCTTATCTGAAGATAATTTTCTTAACTGAAGAATTATTAATTGTTTAATCAGCAATTCTAATAACTTACTGTTTACCACTTCTTTATGATAAATATAATGTGTATACTGAAAAAAATTGAATATTATAAGATTATAGGCTTGTATTTAAATTCTGATTTAAATTTTTATGCTTATAATATACAGGACACTAGAGTATGTACTTTGCAAGAGAGAAACAAAATAAGAAGAGAAACAGCACTAAAAGAACTGTTTTTTGTTTGTTTGTTTATCTTAAGGAAACAGGTAAAGCAAGTACAAAAACATGTCTAATAAAGAGAGGAGCAAAATTAGGATCACAAGTCAGATAAAAATACTATGGGCTTTCAAGGTGGAGAGCCTTAGTTCCAGGTGAAATTTTAAGTGTTTAATGAAACACTTGGCATTTGAAAGGATAAAGAATCAACTTGCAGCAGATGTGGTGGCAGAAAATATCTAGATATAGGTATATCTCATTATTGCTCTTTGCTTTATTGGAGCTCGCAGATACTGCATTTTTACAAATTGAGGGTTTGTGACAAGTTGAGAACATCTATCAGTGCCATTATTCCAACAACATGTCCTCACTTCCTGCCTTTGTATCACATTCTGGTAATTTTCATACTTCAAACTTTTTCATAATTATTATAAGTTTGGTATATGTGTCCACTACAAATCACATGCTGGAATGTGATCCCCAATGTTGGAGGTGGAGCTTAGTGAAAGGTGTTTGAGTCATGGGGGTGGATCCCTCATGAATGGCCTGATGCCCTCCCTGGGGTGCTATGTGAGATCTCACTCTGAGTTCATATGATATCTGGTTGTTAAAAAGAGTTGGGATCTCCCCACTTTCTCTCCTACTCCCTCTCTCTCCATGTGATTTGCATGCTTCCCCTTCACCTTCTGCCATGATTGAAAGCTTCCTGAGGCTCTCACCAGGAGCAAATGCCAACACCATGCTTCCTGTTTACCTTGTAGAACCATGAGTCAAAAGAAACCTAGTTTCTTTTAAATTATCCAGACTCAGGTATTCCTTTATAGCAACGCAAATGGACTAGTTCATTATTTTTTTATGGTGATCTCTATTTGGTGATCTTTGATGTTACTATTGTAATTGTTTAGGGAACCACAAACTACACCCACATCAGAGGGTGAACTTAATTGATAAATATTGTGTGTGCTCTGACAGCTGCACTGATTCCCTCATCTCTCCCCATCTCCTCAGGCTTCCCCATTCCCAGAGACACGACAATATTGAAATTAGGCCAATTAATAACCCTACACAGCCTCTAAGTTTTCAAGTGAAAGAAAGACTCTGCATGTCTCTTGCTTTGAGTCAAAAGCTAGAAATGATTAAGTTTCATAAGGAAAGGATGCCAAAAGTTGAGATAGGCCAAAAATAGACCTCTTATGCCAAACAGCCACATTGGAATGCAAAAGAAAATTTCTTGAAAAAAATTAGAAGTGCTACTCCGGTGAACACACAAATGATAAGAAAGCAAAACAGCCTTCTTGCTGAGATGGAGAGAGTTTTAGTGTTCAGGATAGAACATCACATTTTTGTAAGCAAAAGATTAATCCAGAGAAAAGTCCTAATTCTGTTGAATTCTATGAAGGCTGAAAGAGGTGAGGAAGCTGCAGAAGAAAAATTAGAAACTAGCAGAGATTGGTTCATGAGGTTGAAGTAAAGAAGCCATCTACAAAACGTATAGCAACATAACATAGCATAGCATCACATTGCATCGCATCACATCAAATCCCTTCTAAGGTAAAGCAGCAAGTGCTGATGTAGAAGCTGCAGCAAGTTATCCAGAATATCTCGATGATTGATGATGGCAGCTACACTAAGCAATAGATTTCAGTGTTGATGAAACAGCCTTCTGTTGAAAGAAGATGCTATCTAGGACTTTGATAGCTAAAGAGGATCTGTCAATGCCTGTCTTCGTAGTTTCAAAGGACAAGCTGACTCTCTTTTTAGAGGCTAATGTAGCTGGTGAAGCCAACGTTTATTTACCATTCCAAAATCCTAAGACTCTTAAGAATTATGTTAAATCTACTCTGCTCGAGCTTTCTAAGTGGAACAACAAAGCTTGGATGACAAAGCATCTGTTTACCGCTTGGTTTACTGAGTATTTTAAGCCCACAGTTGAGACTTACTACTCAGGAAAAACGACAACAACAAAATCTTTTTAAAATATTGCCGCTCACTGATAATGCATCTGGTCACCCCATAGCTCTGATGGAGATTTACAGAAAGGGAAATGTTGGCTTCATGTCTGTTAATACAAAATTCATTCTGCAGCCCACAGGTAAAGGAGTAAACAAGACTTATTATTTAAGAAATATATTTTATAAAGTAATAATTATTATTATAGATAGTGATTCTTCTGATGGATCAGGGCAAAGTAAATTGAAAACTTATAGAAGAAATTCATCATTCTAAGTGCCATTAAGAACACTCATAATTCACGGGAGGAGGTCAAAGTAGAAATATTTATAGGAGTTTAAAAGACGTTTATTCCAGTCCTCCTGGATAATATTAAGAAGTTCAAGATTTCAGTGGAGGAAGTCACTGAAGATGTGGTAGACATAGCAAGAGAAGTAGAATTTGAAGTGGAGCCTAAAGATGTGATTAAATTGCTGAAGTTTCATTGATATTCATGCTGAATATCAAAACTCATGATAAAATTTAAACAGATGAGGCTCTTGTTCTTATGGTTGAGCAAAGATAGTGGTTTCTTGAGATGAAATTTGCTCCTGGTTAAGATGGTATAAACATTGTTGAAATGACGACAAAAAATATTATACAAATGACAACAAAGAATACTACAGAAATGCAGTTGACAATGCAGTAGCAAGGCTTGAGAGGATTTACTCCAATTTTGAAATAAGTTCTACTGTGAGTAAAATGCGATTAAACTGTATTGCAGACTACAGAGAAATCTTTCATGAAAGGAAGAGTCAATTAATATGGCAAACTTCATTGCTGTATTATCTTATGAAATTGCAAAGCCACAACAACCTTTAGCAACCACTATCCTGATCAGTCAGCAGCCAACAACATAGAAGCAAGATTTTACATCAACAAAATGATTATGACTTGCTGAAGGCTTAGTGTATTGTTATAATAGCATGTGTTTTAATAATAAGTATTTTTATTTAAAGTATGTATGCACATTTTTTAGACATAATGTCATTGCACATTTAATAGACTACAGTATAGTCTAAACATAACTTTTATATGCACCAAGAAACCAGAAAATTTACGTGACTAGCTTTGTTGAAATATTTGCTTCATTGTGTTGGTAGTACTGAACCCACAATATATCTGAGGTTTGTCTGTATTACGTTTCTAAAATAGATTTTATATGCAAATTATGCTGATGAAATATATTGGATTAATTTATTTAATATATGCCAAGTGATGATAGTTACTTCAAAGCATTGCCATGATACATGTGATTAGCAGTCTATAAAATTTGTCATAATTGATTACTCTAAAGGCAATCATTAAAATTCATTTTCTTTTATTTATTTATGTGAGTGAAATTCCTCTCTTAGTGGAATTAGCATTTTCTGTTAATGGTACTCTAACCTTTATCTTCCTCAAAAATAAAAGTTTTTAAAACATTTTATTCAATTAGGCACATTTATGATAACAGGAACATTAGAAAAACATTTAATGGTTTTTATTCACCATATCATGTGTGGGGCATGGATAATAACTTAGGCGCTTATTCTTAATGGAGAAGCATGTGAATACAGTAAAATCAAAATGTCCAAAATGATAAAATGAAAACTACCCTGAGATGGCAGAGAATGAGAAGATTGCCTAATGATTTTCTTCTCTATTCACATAATATATATTCGGGTGCTCTTTTTGGCAGAAAGTTAGACACATTACATTGCAGATTTCCCTTCCTCTCACAAAAGGTACAAGGTGAAGCTCCTATTCAATCGGAAAAAAAAAAGCCTACATGTTTAAAAAATTATTTCTATTTTCATTTACTATCGACATCCAAAAAATTATTCACAATGCTTTATAGTTGAAATATAAGACAAAGTAAAGCACACATTTTGTGGTTTTATAGTAAAACACAAGTAAAAACACAAGACAAACATCAAATAATAAATTAAAGTACAATTTTAACTTTCTGCCTGTAAACATCACTGAGCAGAAAGCACCTCTAAGCTTTCAAAAATCAAGGAGGAAAGGAAAACATTTTAGATAATAACTCATCTGTTATTCTATTAAAAAAAAAAACCCTATTCCTTGGAAATCTACCAGTTTGTTGGTATAAACTGACATCTTTTAAGTTTGAGAGAGCTTCATCACAGGAATATGAAACAAGACATCCTTAATAAGATATACAATATTGTCTTAGATGTCCTTTTATAATAATCATTTTATTATGATATTTTCTAATTCTTTCTAGTCCTTAAATCCCATTATTAATTGAAGTTAATGCCTACATATTCAAATGAACTTTAGTTGACATTTCCTTCTGCATAGGTCTTCTGAGTTTCAGATTGGGCTAAGATAATTAGTAAAAATAGTTAACTACTCTTTCTCCTTGTTATAACTTGACAATTCTCTTCTTTTCATTTGCATAGGGTAAACTTCCTACTAATTAATTTTATATTTCAAAGGCTGGCAGTTGCTATGTAGGAGTCTTCTGTTTTTTAACATTCAAAATAGATGAACAACAAATAGGTAATAGATAGAAGATTGTTAAATTTCTTCAAAGATGACTTTTGACTGAAGACATTGCACAAAATACATAAATTTATTTCTCAAAATTCTATTTATTTAAGTTGTACCAAAAGAAAAGCCCTTAAAAACCATTGGGAATTCAGAAGCACAGGCATCACCAAAAGCATGACATTTTGCAGAATTCCTAGTAAATGGCATACAAAGGTGGTTATTAATACAATAGTGAATACGGGGTAGAGGAAAACACAGCCCAAATTTTGTGTAATAAAATCCAGTTTACAGGCAGATCTTGTCAAGTGTGAAGAGAAGGAGTGGTTTGCAGGCACAGTAATCAGAGTAATTAAAAGACTATAGACACAAATAGCCAGGCCATGTCTTTGCTCCAGCTAGCTGCCCTAGCGAGAAGCCATAGTGAGAGCTGGCAGGTCTTGAGAAAGAGAAAGCAAAAGATTCTCAGGAAAATCTAAGCTCTTTTGTGTATTTAGATTCCTGAAAGGAAACAGAATAGGTAAGGTGGTAACTGCAAAGCATCAAAACAGACAAATAAAAACTCATAGGGCAAAGACATTGTGGTTGGAGTGGGAGAGAATAGAATCCACCAGGAAGCTCCCCTTAAGGAAATTGCATGATAAAGCATCCTCGCCAGAGATAAAACAAGACCAAGAGCTGAGCTTTTTATTCCAGAGACAATTCTGTCTGAAAAAAAGGAATGATAAACCTACAGGGAAAACTTAATTCTAACTACATATACTATTCAAACTAATTATTATAAATATGATTAGCAAATTTCTGGAATCTATGATTGAAGAAAACAATTTTTAAAGAATTGAGATGAGCCATGGAAGACCACAAGCTGACCATCTAGACTGAAACAACAAGTAGACTTCATTGCATAGAAGAAAGTAATCTGAATCTTAGGTTGGAATGATAGGAACTGATTATGAACCCATTCACCCTCACCATGCTCTTCTAAGCACAAAGAGACAAAAAAGCCAGAAAATCTAATAAGTCTGCATTGCTGTTACTAGTAAAGCCTTCACCTTCCATGGCTTGCTGAGTCCTCTTTAGGGGACCATGGCTCCCCCCTCCCGAAATACAACTTCCTTGCATGTCAAAATTTATTATTTTTCTAATCTGTTGTAACACCATAATATTATTGCCATTATACACATTTTAAAAGTTTACACTTGATTAAATTGGAGGGAGGAGAGGGGAAAGAATCCCAAAGCTATAGACAATTCTAATCAGTCAGCTATTCATCCAGATTGTTCCTCGAATTATCCAGCTGACCTAGTTTATTTATAAGTTTTTCATTGTTATAAAAACTGCATTTTCAAATGCATAAACAACAAACCTTTCTACTTGTTATGTACTTTTATAACTCCAAGTATCTCAGAGTTCAACTGCCAATTTAGAAGGGCATGCACTACATGAAATCTGTACTGACTATTGAACTATATATTATTTCCATAATTACTACAATAGGTTAAATGTTTTTTCTAGTTGTATTATCTATAGTCTACCCTCATTGAAATACACACTCTTTTGTGTTGTGAAAACTAACTTTGATATATAAAACTCATCACACTAGATTTCTTGTAAATTATTCTACAAACAGGTGAATTACAGGCTTTATAAAAGTTTTTCTTAAGTCAGGTATGTATTAAATTAAATGACAGTTTTCAATAGTATAGATTTTCAACAACTATACTTTTCATATGAATGTCTAGAAATTAAATAGCTAATACAGCTGGTTATTTACCCTTCCTCTGACAAAAATATCTTCTATATTTCATGTCACAACGAGTCATGTGCTATCAATTCTAATAATCAGTGAACCTGTTTCAGCCATCTGTGATGTTGAAATAAGAGTTCATCTATGAAGGCAATGGCCACTGAGTTGCAATTACACAATAGGTTGCCCGAACCTGGCTATAGCTGCAACACCTGCAGTGCTAGGTGTAGGCACTGTGTGATAAAAAGTACAGCTTCTCCATATGGTAAGGGTCTGTGGAAACAGTGAGTGTCAGTTTGTGTATCATGTTGCAAAACAAGCAAATATTTGGTACAAATGCTATTTAAATTAAGTGGTCCTAGTCTAGTTTTTGTAAATAGTAAAACACCTGGAATGTTGATTCTAGACAGTATTTTAATAATTTAATAAATTATTTAACAGGATAATTTAATAATTTAATAAATAATTTAACAGGATAATTTAATAAGAAAGACAGACATAATATGAAGCTAATTTTAGATAAAATGTTGCCATTTTAATTATTTTTTTAATTCAAGAAGGGCTACAACAGTTTATAAACTACATACTCTCATGGGGAATAAGTCTTTGTAATAACTGTCTCATTATTTTTCTAAGGATTGGTAATGTAATGTTGTGTCCATACTTTCTTACAAAGAGAATGATGTATTATACTGCATATAGGTTTTGTTAGGACTATTAAATTTACTCATCTGTTAAAATACAGGCAAGTAAATCACAAAAGCTAATGAAGAAATTGCATGAAGCATTTTAGAAACACTATATCAATTCCAGGCAACTTTAGTTTAGAGTGTTGTATTATTAGACCAAACCAATGGTCCATCCAACCTAATTTCCTGTTTCTGAGAGATAGCAACTGGTGCATCTATTTAAAGGCTTCATGAAAGACCTGAAAGTTGTATTGTGTACTGTAATTCTGTAAGTTATTAAACACACATTATCACATCAATATTATTCAGTAGAATAAAATATTTCAAGCAGATAAATTACTGTAGTAAGGAGCAAATGCACAGAACTGTAGACCTTAAAGTATTTAAGGCTTGTGGGAAGATAAGGGAAAGACACAAAAGCAAACAAAGCTATGGACTTATTGCATTATTTCATACATATTACCGAAGATGGCTAAATGTAGTAGCAATCTTCATAATCTTCTGTAGTTTGCTGATAAGTAGAACCCCTGTTTTAGTAAAGTAATGATATTAAAATGATATTCTTATGATGCAAATATTAATTATTTTAGGTGCCATATAAAATCTAGTTAGTTCTATTTTAGGGAAATCTGTTGAGGAAATTAGAAGGGGATTGCATCATACAGAATGATGTCAATAAGAAGAAAAATAAGAGATGCGCTAAAAGTTAACTTGATCCTGCAAATTGAAGACAACGGTGATTCACTGACTTCTTGCTTGCTGCACTGTCTTTAGTAAGAATGAGTACCTGTAACTTCATTGTTTTGCCTGGACTACTCCAGTCTCACTGTTTGGAAAAGTACAATAGGGGCCAAGGGAAAGCTTACCCACTGATAAATCAACTCATTAGAGGAGATTAATTGAAGAAAAGGCATACAAATTTATTAATGCACATATGGAAGAGAGCCACAGAGTGAGTACCCCAATCCCCCAATGAGGTTCAAAAGCTTATGCACTATCTTGAGGTTACAGAAATAATGGGGTTTTTGGATAGTGGCAAAACAGGTTATGGGAGGGGGAAAAGAGGAGGCTTCTCTAGCAAATTTGATCTCTTTATATGGATAAATTTCATAGATAGCATCCCTCAGAGAGAATAGATAGTGAATGCTTCTTTCAGACTTCTAAAGTTGTCAGACTCTGAGTGAATCTCTCCTACAGCCAGACAAGGAAAAGCTCTCGGAGAAACCCTGGCTGCATAAATGCAGATTTTCTCTACAGATGCAAATATACCCAGAAAATACAGCTTTGCAGGGCCACGTCTAATGGCGGGTCCTCTGAAACCCATCTCCAAATATGTCAAATAAGCATATTTTGTGGTGAAATATTTTTATTTTTTGCAATACACAACTTTCCAAGTTCTTTAAAGAGGGATTCAGATAGATCCAATTTTTATCACGTATCAAGTGCCTTGTCAGGGAAAAATAAATATGTTCTATCAATTCTAATCAGGAAAAAATTCCTACTTTTTTCATAGGGAGCTTAACACACTCCTTCTGCCATTGGCAAAGAAAATGGTGGTTAATACCCTAACATGAGCAAATCATTTTGTTTGCCTGACAGTAAAGAAAAAATGCGTAAAATAATGAATATGGGGAGATGAAAATATATAACACTTTGTTTTTTCTTTATTTATAAATGTAGCATTTGCTCTTGTTGAGTTTTAAATTAGAAACCAGATATAGCTTGCCACATATAAGTAGTGTTAATACCTTGCTATAGCTTTCCTCTGTCTTTGTGTATTTTTCTGGTTGTGAATGACACAATTATATACATTTTGTAAATTCTCTTTATTTAGGAGTCACAGTATACTTTAGGATATTAAAGGTTGGGCCCAGGCCCAGTGGCTTATGCCTGTAATCCCTGTACTTTGGGAGGCCAAGGCAAGTGGATCAGTTGAGGTCAAGAGTTTGAGACCAGCCTGGCCAACATGGTGAAACCCCGTCTCTACTAAAAATACAAAAAATCGCCGGATGTGGTGGCATGCACCTGTAGTCTCAGCTACTGCGGAGACTGAGGCATGAGAATTGCTTGAACCCGGGAGGTATAGGTTGCAGTGAGCCAAGATAGCACCACTGCACTCCAACCTGGTCAACAGAGCAAGACTCCGTCTCTAATAAATAAATAAATAAATAAATAAATAAATAAATAAGTAAGTAAAGTTTGGGTGTGAACAATGGTGACAGCACTTGCTTTTTTCTGCTATTAGATGTTTTGAAAATTCAAAACTATTTATAAATATTTTTATTTTTATAACAATATAGTTATTCGCATATGTTAAAAATCTGCTTTGTCTTTTTTTTATTTATTTATTTTTATTTTTATTTTTTTTTTGAGACAGGGTTTTTCTCTGTTGCCCAGGCTGGAGTGCAGTGGTACAATCACAGCTGATACAATCAACCTCTGCCTCCTGGGGTCAGGTAATTCTCCTACTTTATCCTCCTGAGTAGCTGGGACCACAGGCGCACCACCATGCCTGGCTCATTTTTGTACTTTTTTAGAGACAGAGTTTTGCCATGTTGCTGAGGCTGGTGTCAATCTCATGGGCTCAAGGGATCTGTCCACCTTGGCCTCCCAAAGTGCAGGGATTATAGTCCTGAGCCATCATGCCTGCACTGCTCTATCTTTATAACAGCATACAATCGGAAACATTGGTTTTATCACCAAAGCTTTGACTAAATCATTTTTGAGACAATACATACAATGCCTGATTTCAAGACTCTTAAAGTAAGTGAATAAAAATTGGTACTTTCTGGCAGGCCCAAAAACCTGAAGTCAGCCTTGGTTTGGCTTCATAGCCTCAAGAAGTTTTTAAACCTGAGCTTTCTATGTAGAGAAAAATAACTGATGTTTCTAAAGAAAAATTATAATATACCCGTTATAAGATTGTAGCACTGTTTATTGTTTTTAAGTTCTTGTTATCCACATGTAGACTAGAATAAATCCTGAATTCTTCTAAAACTAAATAATAAATGCTCCATGTCGTCCTTTAATAAATTAACCTACTTAACATTGTTTTAAGTTGTATTTTCTTAACGTATTTGAGCACAGGAAAAACACCTGACAGAAATCAATGTTACACAGATCATCAATCTGCTAGATATGACAATAAATGCTTGATGTATAAGATACTTTGCTCATATTTCCATCTTAAACTAAAAAAAGTGTTGTGAGCAATGACTTTTGGGGTTGGTGTCACAGGTGGTAAAGAAATTTGCCAAAACACCTGGGTGACAGAGCGAGACTCCATCTCCAAAAAAAAAAGAAAGAAATTAGCCAAAACAGCTGTAGATAAAGAAAGGCAGATTTATTAGAGAAAGTATGAAGATACACTGCAAAGATGCAACATGCAGCATAGCAGAGAAGTGGCTGTCTGCAAAGAAGCAGATGGTGGAGGTAAGTTTTACAAGGTCCTGCTGGAAGCAGGTACATGCGGGTGAGTTTGTGCTGTACGCTAAGAATATGTTGGAGTAATTTTTTTACTGCCAGGCCTTTCTGCTCCAGCTGCCCAAAGGAAATGCTCTGCTGCTTTTAGCCATTTTGCAACCCGCATACTGTCCATTTGCAAGATAGTGGCTGTGGTTTTTCCACACAAAGTGAATGCAAATGGGGTAGGTCTCTGTTCCACCAGCCTGGCTCCTTCCAGGTTCCTGTTGACTTATTGATCTATTAGGGTTCCACATAAGGGGCACATCAAGTTTGGTAGGATATTGGTAACTATAAACTATATGGAAGCTGCATGGAGTGTTTATTGCAGTGACTGTTGGAAGTAGAGGTGAGGCTGAGAGGATGTGAGGTGTGTCACAAAAAAAAAAAAAAAAATCACTTACAAGGCATACCTCCAAAAGGATTTTAGCTAATCTGAAAAAAATGAATTTCAATATTTTCACAAGAAGATTGTGACATTTATTTTGCTAAATAGTAAACTTCGTATGTAGATGGATGGCTTGCAGCACTTAAAATAGCCATCTCGCTTAATTGAGGTCTTTCTGATTAAGTGCTAACTACCCTAGATGATAAGGGACTGATCTGAGCAAATGAATTCACCTGGAATGTAACTTAATGCATATTGCACTTCGTATGCTCAAGCATTTTTCAAAAAATTACAAACATTATAACAAATGTTATTTGGACGCTATAGGCATTTGAGTTTGTAATCTTTCCAGGGAAATTTTATCAACTGGAATCTGCTCATCTTTCTATTGACTACCTCATAGATTGCTGTCTAGACTAATTATAGGCTGCCTTTTAGTCAGGAGGCCATCCCTATGTTATAATGGAGTTATAATGCATAATGGAGATAATGGAGTTATAATGCAAACATGATGACCTAAATCTAAACAGCTTCTTATAGTCATTTCCTTGTTCTAAAAAATTTCCATTAGATGAGGGTTGTAATTCTAAGACTATCCAGAGGAGAGTGATATAGTTAAAAAATACCCTCATTGGTAGGCTTATTGTAATGCTTGATAGAAATGTTCTCATTGGTATATGTAATTTATATGTCTTGATCAAATTTATTTTCTGCAAGTACAGAGCTCTGTTCTGACGTACATAATCCTGTTATCTCATGATGATGAAGATAACATTTTTTAAAATGTTTTAAAAATTCGACTCCAAAATTGAAAAGAAATCTGTCACTATTAAAACATGAGTTTAAATTTTATGGTTAGCATTGTTTGAGACTACTTAAATATATCTTTATCAAGTGCAATTGTTGAAGAAAATTGTCACTGTATTGAAATAGATTGAATCTAATTTTGGAATGATTTTTCATTTCTCAGGTTCTAGTTAAATTCATTCATCAAGAATAAACAACACACAAAATGATATAACTGTTGGAAATAAAATGATACTTTTAAAAATCAGAAATGAAATATTCATTTTCCTTTGCTTTATTCCTAGGATTAATGTAAGGAAGTGAATCAAGTACAGTAATATAAAAAAATGTGAAAGTATTTAAAATTGTATACATAATCTCCTTGTCTTTAATAATTTGTGAGAAAGTAGGCTGACATAAGGTATTTGGTTTAATTTAATTCTATGTAAATGATGAAATTATAAGAAGCCTGACTTATTTCAGAGTCTATGAAATAAGACAGTCAAGGCTCAATTATCACTAGGATATTGGTTATGAAATAAGACAGTCAAAGCTCAATTATCACTAGAATATTAGCTTCCCCATGGAACAACTTACACATTATCTCATTATTTACCCACCCCCAGTACACAGGATTAACTTGATAATTGTTTGCTCAAAGATCAGAGTCCAGTTACTCTGTGCCACTGAGGACCCTTATTTTGTTTTACTGGTATTTGTTTTAAGACACCATTAACATCATAAAGTATGCCTTTTTAATTTTACATAGAAAAATAAACCAAGTCTAATTTGAGAAGTTCTCTAACATGAAAGAATGCACTAGACACGTTTGGGACAACTGAATGTTCATGATCTGAATGAATGGTTGACTCATTTATTTAAACTCAAATTGAAACCTCAACATTTAATGTTAATTACAAAATATTATCCCGCAGTTAAATATAATAAACTTTGTGGGGTTTTGCTTATACTACTTCCAGTTTGAATTCAAAAAACTGAAAAATATCACATTATTAGAGTTTGATCAAAAAGGAAAAAGTTTTTAATAGTCTAAGTCAGAAGTAGTACATGGCTATTATGCTATTTCTTTGTTGTGGAAAAAAATTGTGACATGTATACCACCTGTAGAATAGAACGAAAGAAAGAAACCCTATTACATAAGTGAAAATGAAGTGACTTAAGAGGGTTAATGAATTTTATTGAATTTTATAAGTAGACGTAACCATTTTTTTAATTCAACCTCTCAGTGGGAAACCAAGACTCTTAGGAAAGAAAACCTAATAAAAATTTAGCATAGAAATGATATATTTTATTTGGAAAAAAAACAGAGACTTCTTAGAAATGTACATAGATTTATCACCTAAGAAACAAAGTGTATTTTCTTTATACAAACTTTGGCCACATTTAATCAGCATAAAAAGGCATATTATTTAAAATGTCAATTTTAATAACATACTTAGAGAAAGTCATGTTCTTAAACTGGTGTTTGGTGAAAAATATTTATTGCAAAACAAATTATAAGATACTAGAATTACCAGGAGAGTGTAAGAATTAAATTGGAAATTTAGAATACCTCAATATAATGTTCAAATAATAAAACTCCTTAAAAACAATTAGACTTGTAGCTGTTAAGTAAACCAAGGCTTTTATTTGTTGTAATAATAACTTTAATGTGCACATTATGTAATAATTTAAGCACTTTAATACATTACCTCCTGTGAACTAAGTTCATTATTTTCACTTAATAAATGAAAAAAACTAAATGCCACGTGAATAGCTAGAGGTGGAGCAAACATTCAAAAACAGATCTTTTGCCTGCAGATCCACAAGATAGTCTCCAAATTAGAGAAGCTAATTTTATTTATATCTCTCTACATGTTTCCCTGATAGATTTGCTGTGACCAGAAGGAAGTCTGTAGTAAACTGCAGGACTCCATGTTTTCTTTCTTATTTGGGTGCTTTATTTTATTTTATATTTTTGTTTTGTTTTATTTATTGATTAATTAATTAATTTATTTATTTATTTTGAGACAGGGTCTGGCTCTATTGCCCAGGCTGGAATGCAGTGGCATGATCTTGGCTCACCGCAACCTCTGGCTCCTGGGCTCAAGCCATCCTCCCATCTCAGCCTCCCGAGTAGCTGGAACTATAGGCACACCCCACCATACCCAGCTAATTTTTGTATTTTTTGTAGAGACAGGGTTTTGCCAGTTTGCCCAGGCTGATCTTGAACTCCTGAGTTCAAGCAATGCATCCATCTCAGCCTCCCAAAATGCTGGGATTACAGGGGCGAGCCACCACCCTTATCTGGGTGTTGAAAACAAGTCGGATTCAGAATTCACCCAGCTTTACACATATAATAAGTTCAATTTTCTCTAAATATACTTCAAGAACACAATAACAATAAAATAAAATAAAAAGGTATTTTTCTTCAAGATTGTCCATTTCACTCAGAGTAAAATGTTAAAATATTTTCCATGCTTGACAAGGCACTACATGATCTAGAAAACTACTCCACCCCACCCTACCTGTTGTATTTTTTTCTTACTCATTTTCTGCCTTATTTTTTTCCCATAAACTTTTCAATCTAACAATATATCTTATACTCACTTTTTAATAAACGTCTATCTCTTCACTAGAATAGAAGCAATAAAAGGCCAGTAATGTCTGTGCACTTCATGTACCGTTACCAATCTCATGCCTACCACATTCTAGGTGCTCAACAAATATACTAAATGAATAAATGAATGAATCAAACAATCGTTCAATGGAAAAATATACAAAGTATACACAATTGCCTTATGGTCCTACTATATACTATGTAGAATTCTGTAAAAGCAACTCTCTCATTTTATTATACTATTTTTATTTAAAATATATTAAGATAATTATATGTTCACATGCAGCTATAAGAAATAATAGATCCTATGTACCCTTTACTTATGTTTCTCCAATGGGAAGACTTTGTAAAAGTGTACTCGAATGTCACAACCAGAATAATAGAATCAATACAAACCACTGATCTTATTCAGATTTTGTGATTTTTACTTGTCTTCATTTGATTATGTATGTGTATTTAGTTTTATACAATTTTACCACAACTGTATATTTGTGCATCCATCAGTACAGTCAAGATCTCTCATCTTGCTTTTCTATAAACTCATTCACTTCTCTCTCTTACCCATTGTCCTGATTCCTGGCAGCCACTAATCTGTTCTTCATTTCTAAAATGTTGTCACTTATAAAATAGTATATAAATATAAAAATGTAGTATGTAACCTTTGGGATTGGATGTTTTTCATTAAGCATAAATTCCTGGAGTTTTTTCTAAGTTGTTGAATGTATCAGCAATTAGTTCTTTTTCTTTTTCTTTTTCTTTTTTTTTTTAGATGGAGTCTCGCTCTGTCGCCCAGGCTGGAGTGCAGTGGTGCAATCTCGGCTCACTGCAAGTTCCGCCTCCCAGGGTCGCACCATTCTCCTGCTTCAGCCTCCCGAGTAGCTGGGGCTACAGGCGCCCGCCACCACCCCTGGCTAATTTTTTTGTATTTTTAGTAGAGATGGGGCTTCACCTTGTTAGCCAGGATGGTCTCGATCTCCTGACCTCGTGATCCGCCCGCCTCAGCCTCCCAAAGTGCTGGGATTACAGGCGTGAGCCCCCTCGCTGGGCCAATTAGTTCTTTTTCATTGCTGAGTGATATTCCATGATGTGTATGTACAGTTTGTTAACCATTCACCTTTTAAAGGACATTTGAAGTGTTTCCAGTTTGGGCTATTACGAATAAAGCTGTTACAAAAATTTAGGAACAACTTTTTATGTGAACATAAATGCTCATTTCCCGGGGATAAATTCCCAGGAGTATAACAGCTGAATAATATGGTAGTTGCATGTTTAGTTTTATAGGAAACTGCCTAACTGGGTTCTACAGGAGCTGTACCATTTTTCATTATCATGAGCGTTGTATGAATGATGTCATTTCTTCACATCCTTGCCAGCTTTCAGTATTGTCACATTTTTAAACCAATCTGAAGATGTGTAGACACTATTTGTGGGTGGTCTCTCTTTTTCTAAATAACTGTGAAGCTGAAAGCCAAGACTTGAATTGCTCATTTTTGTATTTTCAGTACCTAGCATACCACATGGCACATAATGAGCTCTCAAAAAATATTTGTTTGATGAATAAATTAATAAATCAATAAATGAAAAAATAGCACTTTATACTCTAAAATTATAAAGTCCAATATATTTAAATATTAATGTAAAACAAAAAGAGATAAAACTCAAACTTATAATTAAAATAGGCTGCCTTATATGTAACTAGAACAAGGAAAAATTTCCATTATAATAATTCAATTTCATGGGTTTATTGTTCTAAATTATAATGCTATCAACTGATTAAATTCCTGAAGACATTTATTGCATTATAAGTATGAGGTGAAAAAATGATCTTTGAAAATGTACTGATACTATTTCAAAAATGGAAAGATTATCTCAGGATAAGCATTATAGTTATTCCTCAATAGTATTATTCTTGAAACTGAACATATATGAATGTTTTTAGACAAGACAGCATTTTATAATCAGTAATTACAGCAACATTAAACTCTATTACCGATAGTAACATGTTCACCTTACTTCACAAACAAGGTCAGCTATTATGTCATCAGAACAAATTACTATAGGCTCCATACATAAAAAATGTTTCACCATTAGGTGAGAAGATAGAATTTTATGTTTAGTATTCATTTTGGGCAAAATACTTCTATTATCTGAAAATGTGAGTTGTCATGAAGTAGGTAGTGAACCAGCTGAACTCAAGGTTTCATTTCTTTTTAATTTAGGGGGGAAGAAATATGAAAAGCTCAAAATGAAATTACTTCATCAGAATTCACATTTGATTTTCATCTTTTCAGCTACCCAGCTGCATTAATGCTCAACTGACTATACTCCCAGCTGCATTATTCAAGGAAGTTATTCAAGAAGGAATACTTGCAATATGTGGTATACTGAGTAGTGAGCTAATTAAAAGAAACTCACAGCTGGATTTTTAGAAGGCTTTGATCTTGATTGTAAGGCGCTAAAAATGCTTGTTGGTTGGATTATGTTCCTCATACTCTAGATCTGTAGTCTTATCCTGTAAGAAAATGAGTAAGGACTCTTCATAAATGAATAAATGAGTGATTCCTTATATCTTTGATCTCTTCTTTCTGTTAGAGCCTAATAAACTACAGATAATATACAATTTCTTATATTTCAAAGAGGTCCTCCAGGAAGGTACTGTTGTTTGTGGTGAAGTAAAATTCCTACATTTAAAATGGTGTACTCCAAAAGCTGCTTTCCCTTCACTGAAGGCCTGTGAAATGCTGTAGTGTTTGCCTTGGATTAATTTTTTTCTCACCAAATTGCAGTACTTTGCCAAAGTGTAAGCTACATGAGAGCTAGTGGGGAGGAGGGCAAGATAATAGGGGGATATAAACAGGAAAATAACATAAAAGTGAATAGAATGGACTATATGAAAATAATATTTAACAGTAGAATGGAATAACTGAGTCTTAATGCAGCTTTGTCACTGACAGTTTAACTTGTGAATCTGCCTCTTGCATTGGGTACAATATTAATTTCTTCAACTGCAAATATAGAAACTATGCAAGCCAGTGCATTTTTATTCTGGAGGAAAGTTATTTTGTTGAAGGTAAAGAATATTTGCTCCTACTGGCTTAAGCAGAAATGGAGAATTTAATATAAGGGAAAATGGTGCACTTTAATTAAACCAAGAGCAGAAAGCACAGTTGGGACTTACATGAAAATCAAAATCTGCTAGGATAGTAGTCAAGTTTCTAGAGCTACCTGGTTTCTTCTCTCAGTTCTACTGAGTCTGATTCCATATATATATATATATATATATATATATTTTTTTTATTCTCTCTGACAATTTTCTTTCTCTGCTTCTCTGGTTAAGCCATTCCCAAAGTAGAATTGAAGTATCCTTGATAGAAATCCCAGCTTCATAGACAGAATCACAGACTAATGAAGTGTGAATCAGAATCTGTCCCTTTTGAATTAACTGACACTGGAGATGGGGTTATATGGCTCACTGTGTGTGCAGCAGGAACCCTGAGTGTAGATACACAGAGAAAGACAGAAAGAGAACAAAATATGATTGAACATGTCTACCTCACTCAGGAAGAGATTATTATGAAATTTTGAAGAAGGAAACGAATTTTTTTCTTGATGTATGCAATTGTAAACATTCACTCTAAACATGAACATGTATGCATATGTAGACTTCAAAAGTATTATGAAAGCAGACATGCTTGAAGAAAGAATATGTAAATTTTTGTGGCCTAAAATCTTTGCCACTCTTAGGACTAATTTAAAACACTCTGTATGAATAGTATTATCAATTTCACTTAACAGTTATCAATCAATTAGTCTTATTTCTGAATTTCCACATAGCAAATTTTCTTCTTTTAGTCTTTACACTATAGCCATATGGCTATAAGGAATCAAAACGCACATATGCACCCCAACTCTGATTCAAATTTACAATTCCTTCTGCTATTCTGCAGGGTCTAATATTCACTAATAATATCTATGTGTATAATAATCATTCTGCTCAATTAAAATAATCTAACTGAGCTAATATTTTGTCTCTCACAGAAGCAATAAAGATTTCTTTGGGAAGGGAATTATCATTTTCTTCCAAATTATTCTTAAAAAATCTTTGAATGTAATTATGTAACCTAAATATCCATAATTTCCTCAGTGCATTATTTATGATATACGTAAATTCTTCTTGAGCCTATTTAGAAATTCATCCTGAACTCCTTCTGAATGATATCTAGGATTACTGAATACCATCATTTAAAATAATTTTCCACATTTAATCCTAAGGCCAAAGTCTTTATATTAGAACTCTGCAATTTGGAGTTGCTTTTATATCCATTGTAACCCTATTTTTAAGATTTTTATTTTTTGTGAAAGCATGAAATAATTATGGCTCCATCTAATTTGGGCCAACCTTTTTTGACATATGACTACAGCTTGAACCCCATCTAATTTTAAGTGTAGAAAAACAACTATCGGGCCTAATAAATCTGAGTAAATTGTTTCTTGCATAAAGGCACTAACTAGAATTATTTTATTGCCTATGCTAACATGAAATTTGAACATTATTGAGGAAATAAAAGCATATTTTATTTCTCTAATTTTAAAGACTAATACTTGAGGCTGAAATATTTACCGTATTCATAGCTAACATGCAGAATGTTATAGCTGCATACATTAACTTTTTATTCTGTTGGCAACCACAGATGTATTGATATTTTCTGATTTTAGAGATGCAGAAACTGAGGTACAAAAAGACTTAAGATATTTCTCTATACACGGCTAACAAGTGGTAGAACTGAACACAGGGTGTCTGGATATCCTGCTCCTTCAGATGATCTTCAAGAGTTTTCCTGCTGGTACTGTAATATGTATGATCTACTGGCTGGAACCTCCTATTACCTACCTGAGTGTCCTCTGCCTGCCAAGCCCTTGATTCTCCTTTTGTAAATTTCTGACAACTTGAGGTTTTTTTCTGTTGCCATTTTCTAAGGACCTTTGCTTGACTCTTTACTAATGTACCTCCTGCCCAGGCTACTTTTCCTCAAACTGAAGGTTTTTTCTGGCTTTGTATGAGCTGTATTTTCCAAGCTGAACTAATAACTCAAACAAAACATCAAAATCAAGAATTTACAGACTATTAACCAAAAAGAGGGTGACATAGTTATCATTCAGGTGACCTCTCAAGTATCTTTGAGGTCACAAATGAAGAATTTGTTTTTAACATGTATCGTTATCTTTCTGTGTAGACACTGCAAATTTCAGAGGGAAGAAAATCTAAAGCTAAAGAGAGAGTTAGTACTTGGGTCATAGTATCATGACTTATAATGGAACTAGCAGGAATGGGTCTAATTATTGGGACAGAATCAGCCATATCATTAAAACTGAGATTGGTTCTCTGCCTTTAGACTATGTAGTGCAATTAGACTAACAACTTCAAGTCTTACCATCTAACTTATCACATAAACTTAACTATTACAATTTTGTTTACAATATTAACCATTTTTCTAGCTAACCAAAGAAATCAAATTTATCTAACTAGTTGATCAGTCAGCTTTCTACAAGTGGCATCTTACAAACAATAAGAAAACCTGTCTATATCTAAATTGACTCCTCTATGTTCTAAAAAAGGGGAGGCATGAATAATCCACCCCTTGTTTAGCATGTCATCAAGAAATAACCACAAAAATGGGCAACCAGCAGGCGTCAGGACTGTTCTGTCTATAGAGTAGCCATTCTTTTATTCCTTTACTTTCTTAATAAACTTTATTAAGCTTTCACTTTATGGACTCACACTGAATTCTTTCTTGCATGAGAACCAAGAACACTCTCTTGGGGTCTGGATCGAACCTCTTTCCTGTAACATAACCACCCTCCACCCTGACTTTCCTTTTAGTATTCTTTAACCCAGTTCATCATGTATTTTCAATTACCTTTCATGGTCCACTGCTTTGAACTTAGGTATGGCTATGTGGCTTACTTTGGTCAATGTAAGGAGAAGTGACATGTCTTCGCCAGTAGAAACTTTAAGAGCTAGTGTTCAATATGCCCCATACTCTTTCCACCTGTCAGGAGATCAACAATTTTCCAGAGAGCTGCTTTAGCATCCTAAGTACTAGAGTGAGGAGGACATGAAGCAGAATGCCCAGATGACCCATGATGTATATGTAGCATGAGCAAAATAGAAACCTTTGTTATTTTAATTTACTAAGATTTGGGAGGGGACTATTTGTAACCACAGCCTAGTCTAGTCTACTCCATGTTATTGAAACTGCCTTTGCAAAAATTATAACAATGAGAAAATTATGGCAGTGAAGGAGATCTGATCTGGCTAGCCCTCATCTTGCCATTGGCCTTCAAACTGCCCTTAATTATTCCTAGGCTTGGGCCAAGCTAATTTTTGGATATATTTACTTTATAGTTTAAACAATAATGAACCTTTCTCAGAACTCAACCCCCTGTGTAAAGCTAATGAGAGAACACCAGGCTAGGAGACTAGAGGAGACTAAATTCTGCTAAGGTGGAGACATAAATGATTGCCAGCCATTATTCCAGAGGTCATGATAGGCAACTTTCCCAATTGCTTCTGCAGACAACATCACTTTTGTGGACTGAGGATTGGCCTTTTGAGATATCTTTTCACAGTTTTTGCATGTCTGACAACTAACGGCTTTACCCGGATCCACCAACCGATGGCTCCACCTAGACCTACCAACTGCTCTTGTGGTTCCACTCAGAAGCAATTCAGTGCAAGAGGACAGCTTCGACTCCCTATGATTTCATCTCCAACCTAACCAATCAGCACTCCCCATACCCTAGCCCCTGCAGTCCAAACTGTCTTTGAAAAACCCCTGACATCTGAGCCTTCAAGGAGGCTAATTTGAGTAATAATTCCATCTCCCACATTGCATGGCTGGCCTCTGACAATTAAACTCATTGCTGAAATGCCATGATCTCTGTGAATTGATTTTGTTTGGGCAGTGAGCAGGAAGAATCAGCTGAACAGTTACATTATGAGTACCAGTTTACTCATATTTCCTCAAAGTAAATACATACTGAACATTGAAAATAGTTACACAGCTTCATACAGAGAGATGATCAGATTTCAAGGACATGAAGAGACAGGGAATGGGAGAAGTTTTGTCCCAGAGCCTACTGATCTCCCTTTACTACACCACAGAAGGAGCAAATCCTCGCTAGCTTTGCCTATAGGTAAGGGTTGTCAGAAAGATTCTGTCTTCTTCAAAACATCCTACTCTGGTACTCCACCCATTCCTTTTATGCTAGGATGAGTGTCTTCACCTAAATACATAATGAAGTTCAAGTTTATGGTGACCCTCTGGCAAATAGACCCCAAAGTGACCCAAATGATTCACATTTCTTAGTTGCATCTTTTTGTATTCCCTCCCTGTTGAGTGAGGGTGTGGTGAGTGGTTGGGCAGGGTTATTACTGTCTTATAACATACAGCATATAACAAAGGAGATAAGATGTCACTCCCTCAACATTATATTATGTGATATAAGCAGACTGGAGTAGACATTCCTTGCAAGCTTGAAGTTTGCAGCTACTTGAAGGAACTGTAGGCTGACTCTAGATCCTGAAGATCCATCTGACAGCCAGGTAGAAGCTGGGTTCTCAGTCACATAACTGCAAGTAAATAAATTCTTCCAATATCTTGTATGATCTTGGAAGTGGATTCTTCTCTAGTTATGTCTCCAAAAGTGAACACAGTTTTGCCAACATCATAATGTCAGCCTTGAGAGACCATAAATGGAAGACATGGTTAAATGGTACTTGGATGTTTAACCCATGGGAAATGTGAGATAATAAATGTGCGCTGTTATAAACTACTAAGATTACGGTAATTCGTCATGCAGAAAAGAATGCAAGACCGTTCTTGATTCTATAGTATGTTGTTTATTACTTATCTGACCAGTTTTTTGCTTCTTTAATACAAAAGAGTAAATTCTTTTCACTGGGCTGTTATAATCTGCTGGAAGTGGAGGCAGATGGGTGTACATGTGCGATATTGTGAAATACATATTTGATCTTTGTCCCTGTTTCCTAGCATCCAACTCAGAAAATCCTTGGAATCTTCAAAGTGATATTGAAACCACCTTTGCAAAATTATGACTGAGACAGTGAAAGAGATTTAAACTAACCAACTCCATATTGGCTCTAACATTTAAGCTGTCCTTGTTCCTTCTTGGGTGTAGGCTGGACTAATTTTGGGAGAAAGTTAGTTTATAGTTTAAAACAAAGACGATAAGAAGCCTTTCCCAAAACCAACTTCCTTCTTGCCTAGGGACTCGACTACCTTTGTAGGACTAAGAAATTAGCTACAAGATTAGAAATTATGGTTTAGAGTCATGCAGCTGGAGGCAACATGATTCTGACTCTCCCTAAACTACTCCTAAAATCAGTGCTTCAGGTATTTTGCAGAGCCTGCACTTGATGGATCAGCTGGCACCACCCAGATCAATAAACTGGCTCATCTGGTCTTGTGGCCCCCACCCAGAAACTGACTCAGTACATAAGGACAGCTTCAACTTCCCATGATTTCATCTCCTACCTAACCAGTCAACACTCCTGGCTCACTGGCTTTTCCCGACCCAAAAAGTTGTTCTTAAAAACTCTGATCCCCGAATGCTCCGGAAGACTGATTTGAGTAATAATAAAACTCCAGTCTTCCGCACAGCCAGGTCTTCATGAATTACTCTTTATTGCAATTCCCCTGTGTTTTGATAAATCGGATCTGTCTAGGTAGCAGGCAAGGTTAATCCTTTGGGAGGTTACAATATCTTTTTGTATGCTAACGAGTTGACTGGTGACTGGAAGTCCCCAGGTAGCTTCAGGATGGGGGCTCATCACTAGCAAGAGTAAGGTAGTCAGGATTAGAGGGTTGGAACTTTTAGCTAGCCTTACCGCCCTTAACTTCCATGGAGGGAAGATGACCTTAAGGTTGAATTGGCTACCAAGGCAGTAATTAATCATGTCTATGTAATGCACCTTCCATATAAACCCAAAAGGATCAGGTTTGCATAGCTTCTGGATAACTGAACATGTGGAGGTTTTTTGACAGTGGTGCACCTGTGGCATGGAAGCTATTCACCCCTTCCCACGTATCTCACCCTATGCATCTTTTAACCTGTATCCTTTGTAATATTATTTATAATACACTGATAAATGAAAATCAAGTGTTTTCCTGAGTTATATAAGCTCCTCTAGCAAATTATTTGAACCTGAGGAGGCAGCTGTGGGAGCCCCAGCTTATAATCAGTTGGTAGGAAATACAGGTAAAGTAAAACAACCTGGGTTTTTTTATTGGCATCAGAAGTGGGAAGAAGCCTTGTGGAAATGAGTCCTCAATGTCTAGTATCTGATGCTATCTTCAGGTAGAGAGTGTCAGAATTGAATTGAATTAGAGTATGCACATTTATTTGACGTGTATACAAGGGAGTCTTCAAAATGAAGACCCAACCTCCCAGTGAGGTACAGAAATGATATACCATCTTTTAAGAATGCTGGCTCAGAGCACAGCCCAAAAGATACTATGTTGGTAAATCAAGTTTCAGCAGAGAGACAGGTATAGGAGGAAGAAAGGAAGGGGCCTGGCTAGCAAAGGTAGCCTTGTTATGTAGATAAAGCCTCATAGGTGTTAGTCCTCAGAGAGAATAGACAGTAAATGTTTCTTTTCAGATCTTTAAAGGTGTCAGAGTCCCAGTTAAAGTCTCCTAGATCTGAGAAAGGCCTAGAAAAAGAAGGCTTGGCTGATTTAATGTAGATTCTCTACAGAGGCAAATTTTCCCCACCTCATTCAGCTGGCCCTGTGATAGCTATTTCAAAATATGTCAAAGAAATATATTTTGGGGTAAAATATTTTTATTTCCTTTAGTGATAGCACTGATTATGCAGTGGGAAAATATTTTATGTTTAAAAACACTGATGAAGAATATGACAAAAGAATGATGCATGAGCATCAGCAGGTAGTCCAATTCACAGCTCAACAGGTACCTTTTGATTGACTATAAGATGCCAGAGGCTGGGTGTGGTGGCTCACGCCTGTAATCCCAGCTCTTTGGGAGGCCAAGGTGGGTGGATCGCGAGGTCAGGAGATCGAGACCATCCTGGCTAACACGGTGAAACCCCGTCTCTACTAAAAAGTACAAAAAAATTAGCCGGGCGTGGTGGCGGGCTCCTGTATTCCCAGCTACTCCAGGAGGCTGAGGCAGAAGAATGGCCTGAACCCGGGAGGCAGAGCTTGCAGTGAGCCAAGACTGCACCACTGCACTCCAGCTTGGAGGACAGCTCAAGATTCCGTCTCAAAAAACAAACAAAAACAAACAAACAAACAAAAAGATGCCAGATACTGAATTATTTTATCATTGGTGGTAACCAAAGCAGAAGCAGAAATATAATAAGAGATAGGTAAGGTCCTGTCTAGTACTTTGTTTCTGTGCATTTTAATAAAATAAAATATATTTATATACTTATACATGTGCTAATAGTGACCAAAAACCCATACTTTTAATTCTATCCAGTGGTTCTCATCCTTGCGGAATATTAGAATTTCCTAGGGAGCTTTTAAAAACTGCCATTCCAGGGATGCCATCCAGGCTGATTCAATCAGAATCTCTGGGACTGAGTCCTCAGCAATGATACCTGTCAAGTCTCCCCGGGGAGTGATAACGGGCAGTCAGGTTTGAGAAACTCTGCTTTAAACTCTTGACAGAGACTGCTAAAGGGAGTCTTACTTTATACATTTCGTAGTATAGATTTTGGTAATACATACTAAATGTTTACTAATTTTCCTAAATATGTATACTTCCTAATGAAAACTCAATGCTATGAATTTTAAGATTTCAAGGACTTTCGGCCGGATGCAGTGGCTCTCTGTAATCCCCCAGCACTTTGGCAGGCCGAGGCAGGCGGATCACGAGGTCAGGAAATCGAGACCATCCTGGCTAACATGGAGAAACCCCGTCTCTACTAACAATACAAAAACAATAAAAACAAAATTAGCCGGGCATGGCGGCGGGGGACTGTGGTCCCAGCTACTCCAGAGGCTGAGGCGGGAGAATGGCGTGAACCTGGGAGGCGGAGCTTGCAGTGAGCCCAGATCGCGCCACTGCTCTCCAGCCTGGGAGACAGAGCCAGACTCCGTCTCAAAAAAAAAAAAAAAAAAAAAAAAAAAAAAAAAAAAAAAAAAAAGATTTCAAGGATTTTCGTTTGAAACTAATAATATATCCTGACATCTGGGCCATCAGATTTTTTTTTTCTTTGGCAATTTTAGCTTTGCTTTTCTTTTCAAATAGACTTTATCTGCTATTTTAGATTGATTTTTTCTTGTCTATAAGGCAATGATGCATCAACAAATAAAATTATTATAATTAAATAAAAGCAGTTAATGTGCATTAGGTCCTAGGATCTTTTCTGAACTGTCATTCCTCCGCACCACTAAATGCATAAAATTAAACATATTGAATAAAATAATCCTTCCACCTGCTAAAATTTATTAGAACTACTATATATTTTATGAAATACGTTTTGCATATAAACATTTTATTTACTTTTATCATTATGAAATAAATACTGTACATAAAATTCGGTATAAAGAATTCTACTGTATCTTTAACCAAGTAATAGAAAATGTCTGAGGAACCCAGTATGTGCATAATTCAAGTGGAAATAAAAGAAACAAAGCAATTGTGAGCTGACAGGACAAGTGTGGATTAAGCATCGGTTCTTTTTTTTTTTTTTTTGAGACGGAGTCTGTCTCTGTCATCCAGGCTGGAGTGCAGTGGCGCGATCCGGGTTCACTGCAACCTCCGCCTCCCGGGTTCACGCCATTCTCCTGCCTCTGCCTCCCGAGTAGCTGGATCTACAGGCGCCCGCCACCATGCCCGGCTAATTTTTTGTATTTTTAGTAGAGACGGGATTTCACCATGTTAGCCAGGATTGTCTTGATCTCCTGACCTTGTGATCTGCCCGCCTCTGCCTCCCAAAGTTGGGATTACAGGGGTGAGCCCCCGCACCTGGCCCAAGCATCAGTTCTTTTAAAAAGAACTAACTTGAAGGTAAGTCTTGACTCAAGCTTTAGAGGAACTAAGGTGACTTTGGTGGGCAGTGGAAAGAATCACAAAGAGAAATTAATTCAATAAAAGTGTACTGATTTTTAATGCTTTTGCTTAATATTTCACTTTAAAAAAAAAAAAGCCTTTACACTGTTCATAGAAAGCCAGCATGTATTTTTAGCTCTAAGTTTGTCATATTTCCTTTTCTCCGTTAATGTGGAGAAGAAAAAAGTGTGGTTACCTATGGTAGGAAATTTATAGAAAATAGTTTTGTTTCTCTTGCAGACTATATGATCTTTAAATGAAGTAGGGTTTGCTGACTCCGATTATGCCCCATTGTTCTAATACATCAGGCAGATACTTTGCAGGAGACAGTGTCCTTCTTCATGGCCATGCCAGTCCCACTTAATAGGTTCAAATCAGAAAGGATAAAGTTCAGGAATAAGACACAGTGCTTCAAGTCAATTCCATTTGACAAATATTTATTGAGAACTTAATTTGTATAAAGTATAATAATGAATGAAACTTTAATATAGAAATGAATATTGAAGTAGATATAAAGCTTGAGAGAGTGAGACTAGTTAAGAAGGAGAACATTATTGAAGATAGAAAGTGTGTACACATTAAGTGTAGGGTAAAAGAAGATAAAGTATCACAAATATGGAGCAAAACTGATCAAGGATTAAGAATGCCACAATAACCTCAAGCTAGCAAGCAGCCCCACAGTTGAATGCAATAGAGAGTCTAGCTGAAATAAATCCTAAGCATGTGGTTTGTAATTGATAACCTTTTTTGTGGAATATTTTCATGAGGGTTGTTGACAGAGCCCACAGCAGGTAATGGAGTGAGATGCAAAAGAGCATAGGGAACATGGATACCTTATGTATTCAAAGACTTAGACCTAGAAAGACACGAAATAGGAGAGCACAGTCAAGGAATGAATTTGTTAGGTTCTTAGAGGCCATGTAAAGGAGTAACTAGAGGGAAAATTACTAAAAAGATGCAAAGGGAATAGGGAAATCCTGAGGATATTGAGCCGGAATGAGACCAGTTGTTAAAGTGAGTGTTTCTCTGAAACTAGAGAGTATAAAATACTTGAAGATATGGAAACATTTGAAATGAAAAGGACAAATGTGAAAGAATTCTCAATGGTCAGTTCCAATTATTTTATCAACGTAGAAAACCAATGTGACAGGATTGAAAGTGAGGGCTTCATTTGTCCTTTTACTAAACAAATTCTTAACAGTTTATATATATTAGGCACACTGCTGATCATTGAGGATTTGTTGAAAAATAAATGAAACATGCATGATTTCTTCTCCAGTAAAGGAACCAAATTAAAAGATGAGAAAATAGATAAATAATACATCTAAAAACAGATAATAAACTTTGAAATATACTCAGTGGGCTGAAAACAGAAAGGCTGTTGGAATAAGGGTTTAGGCTTTAGAATGGTGACAGCGAATTCCTCTTTGAGCAGTTGAATTTAAAATGAGACTTGAAGGATTAGATGAAACCAGTAAAGTAAAAAATGGAAGGAAAGTCATTCCCAGTGAGGACTGCACAGATCAATAAAGGCTTGCCAGTAGAAAAGGGCACAGCATGTTGAAAGAACTGAAATAATTTCAGTAAGACCGGAAATAAGTGAGCATGTGAGACTAGGACATGAGCCTGAAGAAGCAAGCAGGGGTCAGATCATGCAGAATCTTGTACAACTAGTCATAGAATTTGAATGTTGCTCTAAAGACAAGAACAAGTCTGTCATATTCTAAGCAAGGCCCAAATATGATCTCTTATATTCTAAGACTATAACTTGGGATATTGTATACAGAATAGCTATCAAAAGGGATAAGAGGGCCGGGCGCGGTGGCTCACGCCTGTAATCCCAGCACTTTGGGAGGCCGAGGCGGGCGGATCACGAGGTCAGGAGATCGAGACCATCCCGGCTAAAACGGTGAAACCCCGTCTCTACTAAAAATACAAAAAATTAGCCGGGCGTAGTGGTGGGCGCCTGTAGTCCCAGCTACTTGGGAGGCTGAGGCAGGGGAATGGCGTGAACCCGGGAGGCGGAGCTTGCAGTGAGCCGAGATCCCGCCACTGCACTCCAGCCTGGGAGACAGAGCGAGACTCCGTCTCAAAAAAAAAAAAAAAAAAAAAAAAAAAAAAAAAAAGGGATAAGAGGAACTGGAATGAAAAAGCTAAGAAACAATAAGGGTTTCAGGAGTAGGGTGTTGGCAGTAGATATGAAAAATTAATAGGCAAATTTGAGATACATTTTGGACCAAATGATGGTCCTTAGGAAGATGACTGATGTAGGGCTGAGGGTAAAGAAGGCATCAGTAACAACTCCTAGATTTGGGGCATAATTACCTGGGTAATTGTGTCATTTAAAGACAGTTAAGATTGTGGATTAGGGGATGCATTTGCTAGGGATAGAGGTTTTTAAGGTGAAATCATGATAACAAAAGAAAAGTTTTGAAATGGAGTAGAATGGGAAAAAATAATGAAACCAAGAATGTAAACAATGATGCCAGGTGCGGTGGCTCATGCCTGTAATCCCAGCACTTTGGGAGGCCAAGGCAGGCGGATCATAAGGTCAGGAGTTCGAGACCAGCCTGGCCAGCATGGCGAAACCACATCTCTACTAAAAATACAAAAAATTAGCCAGGTGTGTTGGTGCACGCCTGTAGTCCCAGCTACTCAGGAGGCTGAAGCAGAAGAATTGCTTGAACCTGGGAGGCGGAGGTTGCAGTGAGCCGAGTTTGTGCCACTGTAGTCCAGCCTGGGTGACAGAGTGAGACTCCATCTCAAAAAGAAAAAAAAAAAAAGAATGTAAACAATGTTTGAGTAGAAGAAAAGAAAAAATTTAGTCATGGAGGCCCAGCTAGCACATTGATGCGACTTTTCTAACAGTGCACATTGGTTGACAAGGAAGAACTAAGACAAAAGGCTCGGAATCACCTGGTTGAGGAGGAGCAAAAGTACAGAATCCAGAAGACAGCTACACTGGGTTGGAGAATTCATTTTACACTGGAGCACAAACTAAGGCCGGGGGAATGAGGAGATGAGAGAGATGAATAGGTGAGAGAAAATTGTTTCAAAGAGGACAATTTCAGAATTTCCTTTTAGGAGGTAGAACAATTATAATATGACAAAGTTCAAATCTGGATGTGATTTTCAGCTGCTAAAAAATAAGACAAGGTGAAAGCTTGTGGTTTTCAGAAAGCCAGGAGACCAGGAGTTTGAGAAAAACAAGTTTGTTCACATATCCTTTCTAAGCAAACATAAATTGTGAGATATTAAGAAACATTTTGTTTGGCCGGGCACGGTGGCTCGCGCCTGTACTCCCAGTACTTTGGGGGGCCGAGGCGGGCGGATCATGAGGTCAGGAGTTCAAGACCAGCCTGGCCAACATAGTAAAACACTGTCTCTACTAAAACTATAAAAATTAGCTGGGCATGGTGGCGCATTCCTGAAATCCCAGCTACTCAGGAGGCTGAGCCGGGAGAATTGCTTAGAATTGCTTGAACCAGAACCCGGGAGGCAGAGGTTGCAGTGAACCGAGATTGCACCATTACACTTGAGCCTGGGCTGCAGAGCAAGATTTTGTCTCAAAAAAAAAAAAAAAAAAGGTTACAATTAAAAAAGAGAAAACAGGTCATAAATTACTATCAAGTACATAGTCTACCTCATGAGACTGATGACCATATAGAAAGCATAATTTCAAGAACACATGGACAGCCCATCTGCTCCCTAAATAATTATCTTCAAGTGGTCAGGTTTTTTACAAACTTACACCATTGAAGTTTCATTAGGTTGACTTTAGAGTCTCCTGTTACTAAAATGCAAAAATTTTCGGTCTTATAATACTTTAATCTATGTCACCTATACTTTAATGTGAGCAGATAACAGATTGTAGAGGGGAAGCCTGTTTTTTTGTAAGGACATGAGTATGAACTACTATATATGACTTTCAAGAAAATGTATCTGCTTTACTGTTTTACAAAATCATCTCTCTCCTTTTCTCCTCATTTTCCCTTTCCTCTTTTTTTTATTCCCACTCCTCCTTACCCTTTGCATTAGTTTCTTATTAGTCGTGTTACTTCCTATTACTATTGTAATAAATTTCTATAAACCCTTCTGAGGGTCAGAAGGCTCATAGGGTTAACATCAAGGTGATGGCAGAATTGCGTTTCTTCTAAAACCTCTACAGAGAATCCATTTACCTGTTTTTTGAACTTTTAAAGGCCACCTGTATTCCTCGGATTATAGTCCCTTTCCCTATCTTCAAATACAGCGGCATAGCACCTTCAAATCTCTTGACCTCTGCTTCTATGGTTGCATCTTGTTTGTCCTCGCCTCCCTTTTTCTCTTGTAAAGACTTTTACACACAGATAATACAAGCTAATCTTCCTGTCTCAAAATCCTGAATTTGATCACATCTGCAAAGTCACTTTTGTCATGTAAGGTAACATATTCACAAGCTCAGTATACTAGGATGTAGACATCTCTGGGGAGGGAGTGATTATTATTCTGCCTATCACACCATCTCACCACATGACCAAAATTATGAAAGTGACACCATTCCGAAGGTACAGAGGCACCTCCAAAGCACACGTGTTGGCAAAATGTCTATCATTACTTACTAATTGTCAAATACTTATTATCTGGAATTATTCTAGAATAAGACTGTAGATTCTGCTATAACAACAACAATAATAATTAACATTTATTGAATAATTGTCATGTACAGTTATTAGGCTCAATCCTTTTCCAAATATAATTAATTGTTAGAAAAAGAAATGCTCATATTTCTATATGTGTATATCATTTATCTTTGTAATCATTATTTGTGTATTCCATCTCTCTCTGTCATTTATCTGTTAATTTGTCTATTTTCATTCTGTCTTTATCTATTATAAAAATAATTACCACCTAAAAGTAATTTGGGGTCAGCATATACTACATTGTATTCCATTTGTATCAATAATAGACAATATATTTTGCTACTTAGGGAAGATAACTTTGGGATCATTTGGTTCAATCACTTCACTTGGTAGGCTTGCATAGCAGGACTGAAAATAAAGAAATAATTTGCTAACAGTTATATAGCTACTTACTCGTTGTTTCCTAAAGCCATTTTAAGTAATTTTGGGGTCAGGGTAGAAATAGTTCAGAAAAATTATATTTTAAAAAGGCATTAAGTTATAATTAATAATTTAATAGTTAAATCTTCCAGAAAAATGGAATACAGGAATTACAAGCATTAGAATTGTTCTTTTTAAAAAAATTTTCAGAAATGAATGACTTTGGCATAAGCTAGGGGTTTATATATTATAATAAATAGTAGAAAACAAGTTATATATTATGGATTTAACTATATACTAAATGAACAGAGGCTAAATTCAACTGAAACAATTGTCTTTTATTAGGCCAAAGATTACTTATATTTATCCCTTATGAAAGAATATAATTCAGCATCTAATGGACCTAGGTGAAAATTTTGTCTCTGTTCTTTGTCACTACATGTGGTAGGGCTAGTTACCAGTAACTTTTCTCAGTTTTAGTTTTCCTGTCAATAATGTGAATATAATAATGCTTTTCTTTTCTTTTTTTTTTTTTTTTTTGCAATGGAGTCCCACTCTGTAGCCAGGCTAGAGTGCAGTGGTGTGATCTCGGTTCACTGCAACCTCCGCCTCCCGGGTTCAAGCGGTTATCCTCCCTCATCCTCCCGAGTAGCTGGGATTACAGGTATGTGCCACCACACCCAGCTAATTTTTGTATTTTTAGTAGAGATGGGGTTTCACCATGTTGGCCAGGCTGGTCTCCAACTCCTGAGCTCATGATCCACCTGCCTCAGCCTCCCAAAGTGCTGGGATTACAGAAGTAAGCCACCATGCCAGGCCAATAAAGCTTCTTTTAAAAGATTTTTGTACAGAATAAATGAGATAAAGATTGTGGAGTGTCTTATATAAATAAATATTATAGTATGTATTATAATTACAACAACTACTACTACCATAGCTGCTACCATAATAATATAATTTACTAAATAGGTAGCTGAATAGATTGATGACATTAAACAAATCTGCTCTTAGCCTGCATTAAAAAAATATTGATTGAACACAGGTAATGAAGATATTTGAATTCCAGTACAATTCACTTAGATTTTTATACTATAGAATTTTAGTGTCCACATTAGTGTTTTGTTTTGTTTTATAAAATGAATAATTATATGAATTTAATACTTTAGAAAAATATATGTAGTGATACTAAAAATTGAGTATAGATGCAAAGAGACTGATTATGAAACAAATGGCAGAATCCAGGAGTGATTTAATAATTAACTGAGCAGTGGAATACGATACAAAGTTTCCTCAAAAAATTGAAAATAAAACTACTATATGATCCAGTAATTTCACTTCTCAGTACAAGTCCATAGTAAATAAAATCAGTAAATCAAAGAGATGTCTGCACTCCCATGTTCTCTGCCATATCTTGGCTATTATGTCTAAGAGTGAGTATGAGTGGGAGTATATTATTCTGAGTATGACTAATGTTACTCATAATAGCCAAGATATGGAATCAATATAAATGTTCATCAATGGATCAATGAATAAAGAAAATGTGGCATATTACACAATGGAATAATATTTAGCATTAGAAAAGAGTATCCTGGATATTAAAAAAATATTCCTCTCAATTAAATGTAATTATATAACCTTTGACCAACATCTCTTTATCCTCCCAACCCACTAGCCATCAAAGCCTCTGGTAACCACCATTCTACTCTCTACTTCTATAAGATACACTTTTTTTAGATTCCACATGTGAGTGAGGTCATGCAGTATTTGTCTTTCTGTGCCTGTTGGTCAAAGGATATAACTACAGTTAGGGAGGAAAAACATATTTTAAATGTCCAGAATAGACAAATATATGAGACAGAAAGTAGATAAGTGATTGCTTGGGGCCATGCAGTAAGGAAGAGAAGATAGGGGAGAGGAATGAGGAACCACTACTAGTGGTTATGAAGTTTCTTTTATGGGTGATGAAAATGTTTTAAAATGGACTGGGGTGATGGTTGAACAACTGCTGTGAACTTACAAAAAACCACGGGATTATACATTTTAAATGGATAGATTGCATAAAATGTAAATTATATCTCAATAAAGCTGCTCAGTCTTTTAAGACAAATATTCTGTTATTTGCAACAACATAGATAAACATGGATGACATTATGCTTAGTGAAGTAAAGTGGGCACAAATAGACAAAGATTGTGTGATTTCAGTTATATATGAATCTAAAAATAAAAATAAAATCAAACTCAAAGAAACAGAGTAGAAATGTGGTGAACAGGGGCTGGGGCGAGAAAAAGAATAGGGAGATGGTTTAAAGGCACAAAGTTCCAATTAGACAGGAAGAATAAGTTCTGGAGATCTGTTATACAGCATGGTGATTATAATTGATAACAATGTATAGTATACTTAAAAGTTTCTAAGATGATAGATTTATTTCATTAAAGATAAAAGGATAGCTAGCCACTACTCATTAGTCTGAAAAAAAATACATTGAGACAATTTACATGTATGTCTAAAATTAAGATTTATAATTTATTTCATTAATTATTCATTATAGGTTTTTTCTTTTTTATTATTTAATAATCTTTGCCTTTCATAGCTGAATTTACCAAGTACTCATCTTTTTCTTAATATTAAGCTAAAAATGCACATTAACTTAAAGGGATAAATAAAGTTCTGATCACAAAATGATAATTATGTTAGATGATTAATATGTTTATTAGCTATATTTAGTCATTTCACAATGTGTGTACACATATCTCTCTCAAAATATCACATTTTATACCATTAATATGCACAATTCATCTTTCATCAATTAAAAAACCTTAATATAACAAACTTAACAGAAGGTTGATTGAAAGAAAGGGTAACCATGGCAACTGAAGTGAATATAAATAAGTAGAAAATTGAATATAAATAAGTAGTTGAATTAGAATTATTAAAAAAGTAGTTAACACACTCTTTATGTGTTAATTTTAGCAATAAATCAAGAAAACTAGAACTATATTTCATATGTAAAATATTTAATTAAATTTTACTCATCTTATTCACCATATAAAAATTAAAAGAAGGAGCAGGTGTGCTTTATTGATTGTTCTCTTTCACTGTAATTGATGTAAAGTTTTCCAAGAACCTTAATGTCAGAAAAGCTCAAACTTGTTTCTTCAGGACATTATGAACAAATACAAGTCAAAGCTAAGTGATTGTGATTCTGAAAGAAAATGAATGCATTAGTTATTAGAGTATCTATTAAGAACCTAAAATGAAAGTGGCACAAATATCACTGAGGAAGTAATGCTACCACAGTATCAGTGTTATGCTTAAAACATTCCTTCCAGATAGGGTGTAACTCAATATGGTGCGTCCTTTTTTCAACTTCCCATGGGGAGTCATATGGTAAGAAACAATACAACCACCAAAGGTACATTACTCTCTTTGCAAAAATAATAAACTAAACTCTGTTAACATAAGCGTATTTGTTTTATGATGCTAAAAATTTTACATTTCCAGAATGATAAAATTGGTTTATAAAAGCAAAGAGTAATGCAGTTATCACATTTCATGGGAAAAAAGGCACTATAACACAGAAGTCAGTCGTGCTTTCATAGATACTTTAGTCAAGCTATGCCTCTGCTTTTTACCTATACAATTTCCTTGAGAGTTAGCAATCTATACTTATTTTTATTATACTATCTCCTTAAAGATAAAAGGATAACTAATCACTACTCACTAGTTTGAAAAAATATATATTGAGACAATTTACATGTATGTATAAAATTAAGATTTATAATTCATCTCAATAATTCATTATAGGTTTTTTCTTTATTCATTCTTTAATAATCTTTGCCTTTCATAGCTGAATTTACCAAGTACTCATCTTTTTCTTAATATTAAGCTAAAAATATACATTGATTTAAGGGGATAAGTAAAATCTGTTTATGAATGAAATGAAAATTTAAAAGCCAGCTTACTAATTTCAGGGAAAAGCCATCTATATATTAGTTTAAGTGAAATTTGAAACAACTACCATATGTTTAATCACAAGGCATAAACAGCATGAAATGCAAAACTTTTCATTATTCAGGTATACAAGAAACATTTTATTCAGTGAATATTCTTACATTAGAGATTAAAAATTCATAGAGAATGTAGTTACTATTCTCCATACTACCTGAAATTTAAAAAAAGATAAAAAAGAAACACAATTTCAAAGTAGGTCTAGAGAACTTCTAGAAGACAAATCTTAATTGTTATGTATTAAGAAATGTATTAAGAAGGGAGTTAACCAAAATAAGCTAGGGAAAAATTCCTAATTGGATAGGTTTGTCCTGATGGAACCCAGAAAACAATACTCCAAAATGAAGGCCTCAGCAGCAGCCTCAGAAGCAAAAGTTTCTCTCTGACCTTCTCCTGTTCTCCTGTCTCTCAGTCGCATTCTCTCCACAGGCTGGCCATAGAAACTAGAATCCTTCTTCCCCAAGTAAGGGCATACAAACCAGAGTTTCTTTTCCCAAAAGCCAGTCATAAAACCTAAAAATATTATCCTTAAAAACTGGCTATTACAAGATTATCTGAGCTACCATGTTTGACTGTAGGTCATAAGACCCCCATTTCATCAAGGGCCTCACCCCACACCCAGAAGGAAGAAATGCATAATCAGAGAGGTAAGAAGAATCTAGAACAAAAGGCCTTGCTGGATTTCCCTACTCAGTCAATTAGCATTAGATCATGACCTTTTCATCCAATCATATTTCTACACACCTTTCCATATTTTGTTAAATCTAACGATGAAAATAGATAATGCCCTTGTATCTTTGGGTCTTCATCCTGAAGGATCTGTGTATGTACATCAAATCAATTTGTATGCCTTTTATCCAACTAATCAATCTGCCTCATGTCAGTAATTTTTCAGCAAACTCTTAGGTGGCCAAAGGCCTTTGCCCTCATAGTCCAAAACTAAATACACATTCTAATTCTTAATGAAAATAAACTCACTATTCTTGATTTTTTTTTCTTTCCTTCTCAAGACAAAACATGATTGTGATTGAAAAGGAACCTCTCTCTCTCTCTCTCTCTCTCTCTCTCTCTCTCCTCTCTTCACAGCAAAACAGTATTTACATATAGGATACTTTTACTGTTGTTTCAGTCAAATAAAAATAACTTCATATCCATCAATTTAACTATTAGAATAATGAGAATGATGATAATGGCTCTAGGTATAACTTAGAGTATATGTATGAATTTTTTATAGCAACAACAATGAGAGGTTTTTTTAAAATAGCCCTTTGACAGAAGAGAGTCTTATAGAAAGGTTATATAATTTATCCATAGTCATATAACCAGTTTTAATCAAATTACAAATTGAAATTGAACCTGTTTGATTCCACAATGAATATCTAGAACCAAATATTATGTTAATGAGGTATTTATTTGTGGGAAAGAATGGAAATGATGCTGTAGCATGGAAAATGATGGTAGGGGACTAAGTTAAATTGTAAAAAAAGGAATCCTGCAAATCTTACGCAGGCAACCACTTTTTTAAAGCATTCATTTAAATGTGCTTTATATTCTACTGAAAAATAAATTTTGAATCAGGATCTACATTCATTATGACTGAGAAATCACTTGTGAATTTCAGCAACAAGTGTGGCATCCATTAAACTTTTTAAAAGTCTTGTACTTTAGTAATACAATATGTAAATGATGAATTATGCCAGTAATCCTTTCAGCCCATTTCACAGTGGTTCTTACTTGTCCTCTTAAATTGTCAATAGTACTCTGGAGAGAAGAAATAACTGCTTTATGAAAAACTTCCATTCAGCATACATTGTTTAATCTATGCTTAATGATTTTTATAATGATTTTTCATTATAATTACTAACAAGTCTCACTATTATTATATCTATTAAAAATTCTCACTATTATTATAACTACTAATAGTTCTCACAGTGCCAGCCAACATCCTTAGTGTTAAACATAGAGTTATATATCTTAAATAAAGCAAATGAAGCAAACCTTTTCTGGAGTACTGCTATTTCTAGCAAATTTTGTTATGTTATCATTTGATATCACTCATGATACAAAAAGTTTATGACAGCAAATGAAGTGATTACTAGAACACTTGGCTAACTAACTTCAGTTATCAACATTACTATTGTATTTTTATTTCCTGTATACAATGTGAATTCTTGTTGAGCAGAAATGAAGTCTTACTATAATTACCTGCTTTTCTACTCTTCAGATCATTATTTGTACAAACTTGTTTAATAAACATTTATTGAAAAAATAATTCAACCAACAGACTAAGTTGTTATGACACTGAAAATTGTAGATAAATGAAAAGGATGCTTAATTTGGAATCAAATCTCTGTCTATGAATCCCTACCCTCTCATTTACTAGTTTTTGAAGGTCAGATAAATTATATATATTCTGTGATTCTCTGATTCTAATCTAATAAATGGCATCACCAAAGCTACATCTCAAGGTTACTGTGAACATCAAACGAGAAAATGCAGGCAAAATTATTTTTCTAAATTTGAAATTGTGATTATGAATGTTTTAGTTCTTATTTATTTTTATAATGCATAGAAATAACTCAAGCTGTTTTGTCACTACAGTTTTAAAGCATGAGTCAATCTCCTAGCATATACCTGACAAAGACAACGTGGTACAATATAAAACAAATTAAGGAATTTAGGCTTTCATTTTGATAGTGACAGGAGACAGACAAATTCATAGGCAGACAGGGACAGGTCCCTGGTGAAACCGACCTTCAGGACAAAGATAGTCTGAAGCCTGAAAACCAAGCTGCCAGTTCCAGATAGAGTCCACGACCAGAATGAGAACTTCAGTCCTCATCTTACCCACTCTCTCTCTATTGATTCCGAGTGATGGATGCCCTTTAACCAATTGAATGGTGCCTTTTCCAAGCCCACACATGGATCCATGCATTCCCCCATTCTAAGCCCTAAAAACCCCAGACTTAGCCTCACAGACGGCAACCCACTTTTGGGTCCCCCTTGCTGCTGAGAGCTTGCTGAGAGCTTTCTTTTTGCCGCTCCATAAAATTCTAATCTGCCTTACTCACTCTCTGATGTCCATGTACCTTATTCTTCTTGGTGGGAAACAAGAACTCAGAACTTGTAGAACTGTGGGAGTGAAAGAGCTGTAATGCTCCTGCTAGCCAAGCTGCAGATGGCAGGAGTAAAAGAGCTGTAACACTCCCTCCCGCTCACCGAGCTGTGGGAGTGAAGAAACTGCTGAGTGCCACTCCCTCCTGCTCACTGAACTACAGGAGCAAAAAAGCCGCAAGATTTCAACTTTACCATTACAATTTTTTATCCTTACTGATACCTTTATTCTCTCTGAAACTTAGATTTTTTCATTTGTGACATAAGAATGGAATACTGTAATAGTTCTATAGATTCTCCATTTTGCCAGTTTCTTTAGGATTCTTCAGGATGCATGGTGATGTTAAATTAAATTATATTAAATATATTCATTTTATAAATGTGAATACATTTTTGTGACTACAATTTTTAGATGTTTTTTAAAATATAAAAATATAAATTTATTTGAATGATATCAGTGTGGTCCAATGATTTCATCTTTTGTTTTGTGATGCACCAAATATAACTCATTTGATACTCACTGCATGTTTATTGTAGTGATGCTGCCAATATTGTATATACACAGATATTGTTTTCTATGTCTTTCAATGATGCTTTTGTGGGAACCCATATTTTCAGTGTCAGAAAAGTTTTGCCTCTTATGAACAACTGGTATTAATGTTTTGACAGCACTTTCAACATTACATCTAATCATGAATTTCTCTTTCCTTTGACTGCTAATACTATTATAGCCAAATATTTAGTTTGCATTCGATAAACATCATAGAAATTTATGAAGCATATTTTTGTAAAACAAATCTTTTGTTATTTTGGTTTTTACTTTTTTTCTCTTTTCTTTTTAACATCTTTGTATGTGTAAATGTCTATATACATGGTAAATTCTGTTTCTTAGTTTCTATTCCTATTAATTCTCATTTTATTTTATATTTAGTTATTTGCATGTCTATGTGTAAAAACATGGTAAACTAGCTCGGTATCATTTGGCAATTACAACATTCTATCCTGACTTCCATAAACCACTTATGAAAATCAATCTTGGTTACCCTTAATTTTAGATCAAAGCAAAGTGATTGCGCTTGATGATTTATTGTATTTTAAATTGTTTTGACATTTATTAATCTATCTTTTATATATACATATAATATGTCTACTTTTATACTTTCCATCATCCTGGAACAAATCTCCTTTTGTTAAATTATTATTATCTAGAATAATTATGAGTTTCATGGGATTTTGACAACTATAATAAAATACATTTAAGAATGCAAATGATTGGAACATATTTATAGCAACATGTATTCTCAAAAATAAATTTTAAATTATACATACTTTCTTAAATATTTTCTAAATGGAAGAATACTTAATCAAGTGAATAAAATGGTTACAGGGAAGACAGAAATAAAAATTAGGCAACAGATGGAAGCTAGATTTCTCTAAATGTACCCTGTTTTGTAGGTTTGGCATAGGAGTTGTATAAAAATTTTGCATAATTATAAAACAAAATTATATCAAAGTAGAAGAAAAAAGAGCAATTCCTAAACACTATGAGCAAAATAGAACAAATAAACTTGAATTAGTGGCTTTGTCATGCACAGAGGAAATCCTTCAAGTGAGCTTAAAGCTATTCTTTTCACAAATAATTTTTTTAAAGCAGTTAGAAGTTTATAATAAATAAAACAAGCATTTACAAATTAGGCTTCTACCATGATTACAAATTTCAATAGACTTCACTAAGATAAAGAAATACAATCCTTATGTATTAAGCAAATATGCATGGGTGCGCATTTCACACAAAGCTGGGGGATAAATGCCTTTAGGGGCTGTTATGTTTTCAGATGCCTGAGGAACACCAAGATGAAGAATTTCGGGAGATAATTGGATATACATATTTGGTACTGAGAAGCAATTTTGAAAATGGAGGAAGGGATTTGGTAATCTTATGTAAAATCATAGAAATTGAGAGGGAAAGCACAGTTTGAAGAAAAATGGATCAACAGAAAATCCTTTGAAAACAAAAATTTTAAGGCATGAACAGAAAAATAACTACTTAAGGAGAAAGAGAAGAGATGTTCAAAAATATTTAAATAATAGGATTCTCAACAGCTTTCTAAGAGAAAGATTTAAAAAAATTGTATCTTTTATAGAGGAGGGCAGGGCTGATTTTTGACATAGTATTTACAGCATATGAAAAGTAAACCTTGAAACTGAATTCAACCAAAAGGAGCTGGGTACTTGAATTTTAAAAGGTAACTATGTTTATCATTTTGAAAAATGATTGCATTTATTTATGGGGTACAATGTAATGTTATGATAAAAGTGTATTTTGTGAAATGATAATTAAATCTGTCTAATTAACATATCTATCACCTTATATACCTATCATTTCTTTGTGGTTAGAGCATTCAAAAATCTACTTATAAAAATTTTGAAATATACAATATATTATTAACTGTAGTCACAACACCATGTAATAGATGCCGAAAACCTATTATTTCTCTCTAACTGGTACTTTGTACCCTTTGACTAACATTTCCCACTTCTTTGTCCATCCCAGTCCATCTCACTTTCCATTCTTCACCCCACCTGCTATTCCACCACCGTTCTATTTTCTACATCTCTCAGCTCGACTTTTTGAGATTTTACATATAAGTCATATCATGCATATGATAAATAAATAAGATAAATCTTATGCCAGGTTTATTTCAGTTAGCATAATCTCAGCATGTTGCAAATGACAGAACTTCCTTCTTTTTAAAGGATCAGTAGTATTTTATTGTGTATATATTATGTCAGCATTGCTTTAAAAATATGATATTAATGCACAATGACTTAATTTTTGAAACTATTCAGTAAAATATAAAAGAAAAATACCTCAACCCCATTTGCAGGTTAAGAATTTGAAGCTTAATAGAGTGGAGGTGGCTTGCTTTCAAATTTCACTGAGATAAGCAGTTTTGTGATCAAAGTCTTCTAATTTACATCTTGATTTCTTTGTTGCAGGATGTTCAAGTTCACTGGAACATCCTTCAGTATATAAAATAATAATGAATTTTGTATTTATAGATTGAGATATGACTCCAACCTGTCTTATTAACAATTTATTATGGATCTTTAATGTATCTTATCATCAATTAAAAATTACTTATGGTTCCATAATCATACCATTTTTTATCAGGGATATAGGTACTTGCTGACATTGCACTCCGAAATGAAAGCAAAGCAAAGCAAAAGAGAATAAGATTATTGGAAATCACTGAATTTGTAGACAAAATTGAATTCTGTCAATATTACTGAAAAATCTAGGAAACATTTCCTTTATAGAATAAGAAATGCTATGGTAAATTAATTAAAAAATATTAAATAGATAACACACTCGAACTTAGTCCTTCCCTTGCATAGCAGTCAGTTTTTAAGTCCATATATCTGTAACAATACCATAATACCACAAGGCTAACTAACAGTCATTACAATATAAACTTCATAACTACATACCTTATCCACAAATCTCTGCTCTCATTAGCCACATTCAGAAACTAAATGATCTACTAATGGTCTGAATTCCCAAGAGCCATAGTGTGGATCTTTTCCCCCCAGTTATTCTCTTATAAACAAAGGAAATGCTTTTATTAACTTATCTTGGCTTTATATAATTATTTTACCTTGTTTCTCAATAAAAGATATTTGAAATAGCTTACAAAATATATACCATAAGGTAAAAATGTAATGAAAAAAATCATGTGATGGAAAAAATAAGGGCATGTAATGTTACAATTTAAACTGAATGTCATTTCTAAGGAAGTTGAAAAACGTTACAAATCTTTGGGATTTGTAACCAGCAATCATAAAGTAGTATGTATTAATAGTTGACTCATTTTATACCCATAAGATAAAAATAAGCCAGCTAATGAGCAGAAGCACATTTTCCTCTAAGAATCCTCATGAAATAGTTATACTGTGTTATAAAGAATGTTTTCTAATGATAAGACTTCAGGAAATACAGCAGAGAGCATCAAAGAGTCTTTGTAACATCTTGGTGAGGCAGAGTTCAGCATATTTGAAGCACACTTGACTTTAAGTAGCAGCTCTCTGATCATGTGGCTGAATCCAAGGATTCTTTTTCACATGATCTCCAAAAGGACAGACTGTATTTTTTTCAGGATGTATTTTCTACATAGATTTTTTTTTTTTTCCAGCACAGCTTTTGCTAAGGCTTGAGCTATAGTAAATTCAAGGTTAGATCTCTGACAAGAGAGTATGCTGTACTACTACTCTCTTAAGGGTTTTCAGGTTAGGTATTGAAGTATCAATAACAAATGGGACATTAAAGGCCTTCTTTAACTGAACTGATATATTGTTGACCTGGAAAATTTCCCTGATAATTTAAGTGAGAAAAAAATAGATAAAATATTGGGTAGCAAAATCTAATTATTGTAAATAATAATAATAAATTAACAATTGTATGTATTTAAAGCTTAAATGCTTAGCAGGATACTCAGTGACTGAAAAGTCAGTATCTCAAAATAAAAAGGTGACAGATGCTCTTTACGTTTTTCTCTTAACTGATTTTTAAAAAATATTATGATGGCATATACATTTTATTCAGATTGGTTATATTAGCTATGATCAAATAATCATTGTAATATAGTATGATCCATGGTAAAATGATAAAATTAAGGCTATTAAGTAGGAATTATTATTGAAAATTGGGCAGATATTTACATCTATGTTTAAGAATTACATGGAGGAAATATGCATCAGTATTCTACAACTTGGCTGGGCATGGTATCTCATGCCTGGAATCCCAGCATTGCGGGAGGCCCAGGCAGGGGTATTACTTCAGCTTGGGAGTTCAAGACCAGCCTGGGCAACATAGGGAGACCCCAACTTCACAAAACATTAAAAATAATAAAACATTAGCTGGGTTTGGTGGCCCATGACTGTGGTTCCAACTGCCTTAAAGACAGAGCTGAGAGGATCCTTTGAGCCCCAGACGTCAAGGCTGCTGTGAGCCATGACTGCACCACTGTACTGTAGCCTTGGAAACAAAAAAAGATTCTGTCAAAAAGAAAGGAAAGAAAGAAAAGAAAGAAAGAAAGAGAATTCCAAAACTTATATTTACTTGTTTTAGGGCAGGAGTAGTATAGAATGCAGAATGCTTAGTCTCAATGATAACTGTGTCCTCAGTCTAGATATTTGCAGCTGAATAAAACCTAAGATAAAGCAAAATATTGTTGTGATATGACTAGAAAAAAATAACTTAAATTTCTTGTTTTAAGTAAATCTTTCTGCATCTCCATGGAATTTTAAAATAATTTCTTCCCATATATATTTTTATTTTTATTCACAAGTCATAATTTTCTATACTTTAGAGGGAATGTGTCTTCATTATTACAGGGATCTTTAAGTAGAAACAAATATGTTAAAATTAATTATATAACTTACTTTACATACTTTAAATTTCTTTTTAGGAGGGTAAAATATGTAATTCCACTCTGATTATGCCTTTAGATTTCTTACTTTTAAATCTTGGCATTTAATATGGCTTTTGAAGTGTCTGAACACAAAAATATTAAAAAGATTAAGTCATACATTTAATCCTTTCTTGTCTAGTATTATTTTCATATCACATTATGTTCCATCCATCTTTTTCTTCATTGGTAATATTTAGTATTGGTTGTTCAATAAATTTTTCATTTCATTTCTCCATAACAAAGGGGAAGTGCTGTAAAAAGTACAGTGTCCTAAATTTTATCCTAAAAGTATTATACAAGTATGGATAATATCCACAGTATTTGATGACTATTTCTGATTAAGTTGTTTGCTAATGCTGAGAATCTTTACCGAAATTGCACTAACTACATTTTTTAATTTTAAATTTCTTACAATATATACCAAATGATGTTTTAAACTATTACTGAATAAATATACCTGAAAAGTGAATCAAATTTGTGAATACTTGACTTACTCATGAAGAATTGGCCTTGATATTGTGTCCTCATTTACAAGGGCTTTATAAAACCAAGTATAGAGTAAGGCAATATCTTATCCAGCAAATATTCAAATAGACCTTTGACACCTTAGCCAAAAGAGAGTGATTTGTAACATATGCTAGGTCATGAAGCTAAAAATATTACATTAAGAAATGTTATTAACATGATAGTTTCTCTGTGTTTAACCTCATTTGTTTTAAGAATATATTTTATTAACTTATTATTATTTTTTAGTTGAACAACTAGCATTTATCACTCATTGCAGCAAGAGAGAAGACACACCCTGGCCATCTTTGTATGACGCTATCAGAAAGAATGTGATATAGGATTTGGGCTTTGGGCCATGATTGTGCCACCGCACTGTAATGCCTAGCAGTGGGATTGCGGAATGATATGGTGACTCTATTTTTAGTTTTTTGGAGAAGCTCAAAACTGTTCTCAACAGTGGTTGTAGTAATTTATGTCCATATCAACAGCATACAGAGGTTTCTTTTTCTCCACATCCTTGCCATTATTCATTATTGCCTATTTTTTGACAAAAGCTATTTTAACAGTGGTGTGATGATAACTCGTTGTAGTTTGATTTACATTTCTCTGATAATCAGTGATGTTGAACACGTTTTCATATACCTGTTTGCCATTTGTATTCCTTCTTTAAAGAAATGTCCATTCTGATCTTTTGCCCAGTTTTTAAATTGCATTCTTTGATTTTTTTCTTATTGAGTTGAGCTCCTTATATATCCTGGATATTAATACCTTGTCAGATGGATGGTTTGCAAATATTTCCTCCCATTGTGTGAGTTGTCCCTTCAATTTGTTGATTGTTTCCTTTGCTGTGCAGAACATTTTTAACTTGATGTGATTCTATTTGTCCATTTTTGCACTGGTTGCCTGGGCTTATAGGGTATTACTCAAAAAGATCTTTGCCCAGACCAATGTCCTAGAGACTATTCTCAATATTTCCTTTTAGTAGTTTCATAGGTTGAGGTCTTAGATGTAAGTCTTTAATGCATTCTAATTTGATTATTGTACGTGCTGAAAGATAGGGGTCTAGTTTCATTCTTCTGCATATTGATACCCAGTTTATCCAGCACAATATATTGAGGAGACCATCCTTTCCCCAATGCATGTTCTTGACAACTTTATCAAAGATAACTTCACAGTAAATGTATGGATTTGCATCTGGTTTTCTATTCTACTCCGTTGCTCTATGTGTCTGTTTTTATGCCAGTACCAAGCTACAGTAACCATTGGTTACTATAGCTCTGTATTCTAATTTGAAATCATGTAATGTGATTCATTCACTTCTGTTCTTTTCACTCATGATAGATTTGGCTATTCTGGGCCTTTTGTAGTTCCATATAAATTTTAGGATTGGTTTTTCTATTTCAGTGAAGAATGCCATTGGTATATTGGTAGGAATTTCATTGACTCTGTAGATTGCTTTGGGTAGTATGGATATTTTAACAATATTGATTCTTCTAGTCATTAAACATTAAGTATCTTTTTTTTTTTTTTTTTGAGACAGTCTCACTCTGTCACCTAGGCTAGAGTGCAGTGGTGTGATCTCAGCTCACTGCAACCTCCGCATCCTGGGTTCAAGCTATTCTTCTGCCTCAGCCTCCCGAGTAGTTGGACTACAGGCATGCACCACCACGCATGGCCAATTTTTGTATTTTTAGTAGAGACACAGTTTCACCATGTTGGACAGGATAGTCTTGATTTCCAGATTTCGTGATCGCCCTCCCCAGCCTCCCAAAGTCCTGGGATTATAGGCGTGAGCCACTGTGCCTGGCCTATATCTGTTCATTTTTTGTGTCCTCTTTAATTTCTTGATTCAGTGTTTTATCATTTTTATTGCAGAGATCTTTAACTTTTTTGGTTAATTGCTAAGTATTTAATTTTATTTGTAGATATTGCAAATGGAATTACTTTCTTGACTTATTTTGCATTGATCACAATTAGTATATAGAGATGTTATTGATTTTTGTAGGTTGATTTTGTATTCTGAAACTTTACTGAATTTGTTTATCAGTTCTAATACTTCTTTGATGGAGGCTTTAGGTTTTTTTGAATATATGATTTTATCATTTGAAAACAAGAATCATTTTACATCTTCCTTTACAATTTGGATATTTCTTTCTTTCTCTTGTCTGATTAATCTATCAATAACCTCTTGTCCTATGTTGAATAACAGTGATGAAAATGGGCAGCCTTGCTATGTTCCAGAATCTGGAAGAAAGGCTTTTGATTGTTCCCTGTTCAATATGGTACTAGCTGTGAATTTGTCACAAGTGGCTTTTATTGTGTTGAGGTAGGTCCAGCATAGCTGAATATGCAAAGTTTTTGAGGATTTTTATCATGAAGAGATAATTAAATTGTATCAAATGCTTATCCAGCATCAATTGAAATGATTATTTTTTTTATCCTTCATTCTGTTGATATGATGTGTCACATTTATTGATTTGTGTATGCTGAACCATCCTTGCATTCCTGAGATAAATCCTACTTGGTCATAATGATTTATATTTTTAATGTATTGTTGAATTCTGTTTGCTAGTATTTTGTTGAGAATTTTTACACCACAATTACAGTGTTATAATATTATGTGTTTTTCTGTGTGTTTACTATTACTACTGAGCTTTATACCTTCATATGATTTCTTATTGCTCATTAACATCCTTTTCTTTCAAATTGAAAAACTCCTTTTAGCAATTTTTGTAGGATAGATCTGGTGTTGATAAAATTTCCCAGCTTTTGTTTATCTAGGAAAGTATTTATTTCTCAATTTTAAAGGATATTTTTGTTGGATATACTATTCTGGATAATTTTTTTTTTCCCTTCAGCACTTTAAAGATGTCATACCAGCCTTTCCTGGTTTGTAAAGTTTCCACTGAAAAGTCTGCTGCCAGACATATTGGAGCTCCTTTGTATGTTATTCATTTCTTTTTTCTTGCTGCTTTTAGGGTCCTTTCTTTATCCATAACCTTTGGGAGTTTGATTATTACATGTCTTAAGGTAGTTTTATTTGGATTAAATCAGCTTGGTGTTTTATAACTTTCTTGTACTTGAATATTGCAAAGTTTATTTGGATTTGGGGTGTTCTCTGTTATTTCCCTTTAAATCAACTTTCTACCCATATCTCTCTCTCTGTCTCCATTTTAAAGCCAATATCTTTTAGATTTGCCATTTTGAGGCTATTTTTTCTAGATTCTCTAGGTGTGCTTCATTCTTTTTACTCTTTTTCCTTTTGTCTTCTCTGACTGTATACTTTCAAATAGCCCATCTTCAAGCTCAAAATTTCTCTCTTTTGCTTAATCAATTCTGCTGTTGAGACTCTGATACATTCTGTGGTATGTCAATTGTATTTTTTATCTCTGGGATACTTACAAGATTCTTTTTAATTATTTCAATATCTTTGTTAAGTTTACCTGATAAGATCCTGAATTCCTTCTTCATGTTATCATAAATTTCATTGAGCTTCCTCAAAACAGCTATTTTTGAATTCTCCGTCTTAAAGGTCACATATCTCTGTCTCTCTAGGACTGGACATTGATGCTTATTTAGCTCATTTAGTGAGGTCATGTTTTCCTGGACGATCTTGTTATTTTTAGATATTTATCAGTGTCTGAACAATGAAGAATTAGGTACTTATTGTAGTCTCCATAGTCTGGGCTTGCTTGTACCCATCCCTCTTGAGAAGGTTTTCCAAGTATCTGAATGGACTTAGGTGTTGTGATCTAAGTCTTTGCTCAGTGCAGCTACATATGCATTAGGGGAGACCCCAAGCCCCATAATGGCGTGGCTCTTGTAGACTTATACAGGTACCACCTTGATGGTCTTGGGTAAGATCTGGGAAAATTTCCTGAATTACCATGCAAAGACTCTTGTTCTCTTCTCTTACTTTGCCCCAAAGAAAGTCCCTCTCTCTCTATGGTGATCTGCCTGGAGCTAGGGGAAAAGTGATATAAACACCCCTAGCCACCACCACTGGGACTGTTTTGGGTTAGATCTGAAGCCAGCACAGCACTGGGTCTCACGCAAGGCCCGTGATGAGGACTACCTGGCTACTGACTATGTTCACTAAAGGCCCAAGGGCTCTAAAATAACTAGGTGGCAAATCCATCCAGGCTTGTTTTCTTCTGTTCAGGGTGTCTAGTTTGCCCCAACCCCAGGCTGGTCCAGAGATGCCATCCAGGAGCCAGTGCCTAATGTTGGGAACCTTGGCAATCTACACAATGCTCTATATTACTGCTGAGGAGCTGGCATTCAAGCTACATTACAAAGTCCTTCCCACTCTTGCCTCCCCTTTCCTCATGCAGAAAAGTCTTTCCCTATGACCACTACCACCCTAGGTCTGCAGCGAGTACTGCCTAGCTACCACCAATGTTCACTCAAAGCCCAAAAGCTCTTCGGTCAGCTTTTGGTGAATGCTGTCAGGCTTGGGTCTCTCCCTTTTGGGTATAGAAACTCCTTTGGCCCAGAACATGTCCAGAAATGTCATGCCAGGGCCAAAGCCTGGAATTGAGCCCCCGGGAAGCCTATCTGATGCTCTACTCCACTATAGCCGAGCTGGTACCCAAGATGCAAGACAAAGTCCCCTTACTCTTTTCTCTTATTTCCTCAATTGGAAATCTTTCCCTGTAGCCACCACAGCTGGGAATGTGCTAGGTCAGACCTGAAGCCAGCCTGATCCTGAGTCTAACCCAAGGCCTGTGGTGTGTACTACCTGGATAGCATTGCTGATTATTAAGGGCCCAAGGACCCTTTATTTAGCAGGCAATGAAACCTGTTAAAACTAGGTACTTTTGTTCAAGGCAGCAGGTTCCTTTCTAGCCCAGGGTGTCTCTAGCAATATCTGGTAGTTAAGTCCTGAAATGGGAGCCTCAGGATTCTTCTTGGTGCCCTATTCTACTGTGTGTGAGCTGGTATTTAATTTGCAAGACAAAGACCTCTTTACTCTCCCATCTCCTCTCCTCAAGCAGAGGAAAGGAGTATCTCTGGGAGCTGCAAACTGTATTGCCTGTGCTTTCATGAGTGATGATCCAAGCAGTTCCTTGGCTGTCCTAACTGGTGTCTCTTTAGGTCACATGTCCCCCAAGTCCACTGGCTCCAAGCTTGCCCAGGGCTTGCCCAGGAATTTGCAGTCCTTGTGGCCTATACTGCCTTTCAAGTTTATTTAGGACCTCAGTACACGTTAGCTTTTCAGTGTTCTCTTACAGAGCCTTGTGGCTGAACAGTTTCACCAGCAGCCCTATATTTTGTTTGAGCAGTAAAAACTATAGAAGTGGGGTGTAGACAAAAGTGAACAGCACCTGCAACAAAACTGCTGATCATGGTTAACCAGCTTCCCAAGCCAGTGGCAAGGCTTTCTGGAACTCAAATTCTGAGTGCTGGGATGAATGATTCGCCTCTGTCTAGGGCTGGTCTAAATGCTCCTTTCAGGAGCACCAGCTGAGTTCTGCCCATGTCACTTTCCACTGTAACAGCACAGCACTGAGTTACAATGCAAAGTTCCACAATCACTACCCTCTCCCTCCCGCAAGCACATAAATTCTCTCTCCACACCATGAGGCCACTGCCAAGGGATGGGGGAGGGACAGTACCTGCAACTCAAGACTGTCTTTCTTATCCTCTTCAGTGCCTGCTTCCTTAATAAGATCTCAAAAGCCAGTTTTGTGATCACTCACTTGATTTTTGGGTCATAGGAGGTTGCTTCTTTGTGTGGATAGTTGTTCAATTTTGGTGTTCCTGTAGGGATTACAATTACTAGAAGCTCCGATTCTGCCATCTTGTTCCACCTCCTCTTTATTATTAACTTACATTTGACGTTGAAACTCTATATTATTTTATTTAAAGTTGTGAATGAATCAAGCAGAATTCTAGTTCAACTATTTCCTTTCAAAAAAAATGCAATATGTTATTTTTAACCTAAAAAATGTTTTCTTATGCATTTTGTTTATTTGTTTTGTTCTGGATTGGTTTTACATGCTACATTGGGACAGCCCAAAAAATATTAGAAAGGAAATTAAAACAAATTGTATAAAGTATTAATGCTTAATTTTAAACATATACAATGAAACCCCATGAAAAATGTTTTCTGACATTTTAAAAACCCTATCCAATATTATTTCTAAAGATTAGGGAGTAAAATGGCTTTCCTATGAATACATGCTATTTAAAAGTCAAGTCGCAAATAACATTTTCCAATGAAGTAGTGATAATACCATTGCACTGGGGCACTGAAATGTAGATGAGTCATAAAAAATGTAGACATACTTTTGTGTGTGTGCTGATATAACTATACACAATTAAAATAAGAAGGTTTGTTATCATTGTTACCATTAGTTAAGTTACCATTCTCTTTGACCAAGACACTACTATTATCATTTTATCTCTTAAGCAATAGGAAAATTTTTACTTTTATCTTTCACCTAGGCTTAAAATTAGTGGCTACACTTAAATTAGTTGCTTTTTCTTTACAAGAGAACATATAATTATTTAGACTAAGTATGGATTCTCAATTTTCAAGAAGTAGAGAATTTAACAGATTTGTTAATTAGAACGTTAAGATTTGCCAGCAGTTTTTCCACCATTGATACTGCTAACAAATGGGTCAAATGCTCAAAGTTGCATTTATTCTCTGCAAAATTTTTCTGTAGTAACATAAAGGAACCCACAAATTTACTTCAGTCTAGAAAAATTATAAACCATTTAGTAGAAAATCTCCATTTTTTATGCTCAAGCTCTTATATTCCTATTCAAGTTAATTTATTATATATTACTGTTTTAAAAACTCTTGTGTGTCCTATACTTGAAAAAAAAAATTTCTTTTTATACTGACATTAATTTACATTATTTTCCAATTTTTATCATAACTACCTCATTTTTCTTTCCCTTGCCTTTAGTTTGACTCTTACAAAATCATAAAATGTGAAAAACAATGAAACATGTAAAAAAATTATCAAACAATATTAAAAGAAAAACATTAAGATTATTTGAAGGAATATTTGAACAGTCATTAATAACTAACTATAAAAATTTATAAAATATTCACAAGGAGATAGAACTAGGCTACTTACTGAAGATACAGAAATAAAATACTTATTTTCTACCCTCAAAGTACCCAAAGTCTAACTGGGAATTATTATAATACAAGCCGAGGCTTTTCTCTCACTATTCAGTACAAAATACTCACTTCTATTAATAGACCTAGGCTCTTAATTCCTCTCAGAAATTACATAATTTCTATGTTAACTATTTTATTGTTTTTCTCTTCTCTTAGAGTATAAAACAAATGAAGGCAGGAATTTCATAACCTCCTGTTTCCTCAAAGTCTTTAAGAGTATTTTGAACTCAGTAAAATTTAATAGAATTGATAAAACCTCAATTATAAGAATATTCAGATATTATTTTAACCTATAGAAGGAGCATGTGGCCAAGACTACAGAAAGGTAATTTCACAAGAGAATGACGTATAAGAATAAGATGGGATTTAACTAAAGAATAAGTAAAGTTGTTTCAGAGGCAACAGCAGAGTAAGTTTCACTCAGAGGCTCACTGTGGCTGAATAAGACACTTTCAGAGAACTGCAAACGCTTGGAAATTCATAAGGGAGAAAGGCAATGGTGAAAGTTAGGTAGAGAAGTGGGCATGAATGACCTTTTATGGCTTGAGAAGTGGATTAATTTGAGATCAACAGAAAGACATTGAATAATTTTAAACATGAAGAAGCACAATTATCTAATCAATCTTTTAGAAAAATTATTCTAGGAAAAATACAGGGGATGAATTAAAAGCAGAGTGACCATACATCCCAGCTTGCATAAGAGAATTCTAGTTTATCATGTTACCCAATTAAAAGTGCCAAAATATTCAAGTGCAAAAAATAAAATAAATGAAACGTGGTATATTTATGAGAGGAGGTAAACCCCAAAATAGGTTAGTTAGAAATTCAATGCACAAATTCACATAAGTATTAAAAGCTGACTGAATCATGGGCATTAGTTGTAAAATAAAGTGTGGCATATTGGGTATAATAAAAAAATTCTATATGACTGGAGCATTAAGTATTGGAAGGGAGGAAAGGAAGGATGAGGCTGCTGATGTCGGTAGAAACCCAGTCACTGGAGGTTTTGCAAATCAAATGAAAGCATTTAGATTTTAGCTAAGGAAAATGTGAAACAACAAATGGACTTTGAGAATTAGGGGAACATTGTTATATGTGTGCTTAAAACTAAACACTCAAGCTTCAGTATGGGGGATACATTTATGAGATTAAGACTAGAGTCAGAGAAAATAGAGATTTTTGCAGTAAAATATTAAAGTAAATCGGCCGGCGCGGTGGCCCACTCCTGTAATCCCAGCACTTTGGGAGGTCGAGGCGGGCGGATCACGAGGTCAGGAGATCGAGACCATCCTGGCTAACATGGTGAAACCCCGTCTCTACTAAAAATACAAAAAATTAGCCGGGCGTAGTGGCGGGTGCCTGTGGTCCCAGCTACTCGGGAGGCTGAGGCAGGAGAATGGTGGGAACCCGGGAGGCGGAGCTTGCAGTGAGCCGAGATCGCGCCACTGCGCTCCAGCCTGGGCGACAGAGCGAGACTCCGTCTCAAAAAAAAAAAAAAAAAAAAAAAAAAAAAAAAAAAAAAATTAATTAATTAATTAATTAAAGTAATTCGAAAAAAGGATAATAGACTAAGGTTGAAAGAATGGAAACAGAAAGATTTATTCAAGTATTTCTTATGAAGTGGTTGGAAACACAATGCAGCTTAGTGACAAACTTGAAATTGAATATGAGGGGAGAAGAGGAAATTTCAGATTATCCTTACAATTCTATTTTGATTAACTAAAGTTTTGTTGAATCATTTAAGGTGGAAACCCTGGAGAAGAATAAATTTTGGGAATAGTTGATAACCTCTGCTCTGATATATGGTATTTAAGATACCTATAAGACATGAACATATATGTATAGAGACAACTGGATATAGAAATACAGAATTCAGGAGAAAAGTAATTAATAAATATACAGTTTTAAAAAGTTACCAGCATGTGGATTAACACAGAAGTTATGTGAATGAAAGAAATTGCTAAATCATGTTTCAAGTGGCACATATTCAATGATAACTCTTTATCATTTAAATGACCTGCTAAGAAGATAGACTTAATGTGAAACTCACCAAGTTATTTTACTAAAGTGTGTGTTTACATAAGGTATTCTCAACAAACTGAATTACAGCAACCTGGTTAATAGCCATTCCATGAGTGTATAATCTATGACAGCTCCCACTATACATTATACACTGCTGGTGAAGAATGAAAAATGCCTCCTACAACATTATACAGCCTTATAATGTATAATGTTTCCACCAACAGTGTATAATGGCTCTAATTTCCCCATATTCTCACTGATATATATCACTGATATATATCACTGATATATATCAGTGAGAATATATCAGCCACCCTGACAGTTGTGGGGTAATATCTCATTGCAGCTTTGAATAGCATTTCTTTGATGCTTAGTGACATTGAGCACCTTTTAACACTTCTGATGATGATTTATATGTCTTCTTTGGAAGAAAAAAAGTCTGTCTATTTTTTGTTGGATTATTTGTTTTTGCTGAAGGAAATTGAAGATCTAAATAACCGGAAATACACTCCATGTCATGGATAGGAGATTAATATTGTAAAGACAGAAATAGTCACCGAAGTGATCTACAGATTCAGTGAAATCTCCAGTAGAATCTCAGCCAAGTTTATTGAAAAAATTGGTGAATGAATTCTAAAATTCATATGGAAATTCAAAGGGTACAGAATAGACAAAAACATCTTGAAAAAGAACAAAAGAGGAATATTCAGTCTTTCTAATTTCAAAACCTACTACAATGCTGCAGTGTGTGACAGTGTGAAACTGGTATAAAGATAGACATAAAGATCATGTAATAGAATTGAGAGTCTAGATATAAATTCTTACACTTAGGCAAACTGATATTCTACAAGGGTGTCAAGAAAATATAATCAGAAAAGAACAGTCTTTTCAACAATTGGTGGTGAAACAACTGGAAAGCCATATGCAAAAGAGTGAAGTTGAACCCCTACTTTAAAACATACGTAAAAATTAACTCAAAATGTATCCTATAGGCTTAAATATATGGGTTAAATCTACAAAATTATTAGAAGATACATTGGAGAAAGTATTTGCCTTGGATTAGGCAAAAGCTTCTTATACAACAAAAGCACTCATGACAAAAGAAAAAAATAAATGAATTGCGATTTTTCATTATGAAAACCTTTTTTGTTACAAAAATGCCATCAAAAAATGTGAAAATACAACCCACCAAATGGGATACAATTCATGTATCTGACAAGACACTTGTATCCACAATGGATAAAGAACTCTTTCAACTCAAAAACAATAAAAAATAAATAGACAAAATGAAAAATGTGCAAAGGATTTGAATAAGCATCTCTTTAAAAGGGACATATAAATGGCCATGTGCATAAAAAGATGTTCAGCATTATTGGTTATTAGGGAACTGTAAAGCAAAAACATGATTAGGTGTCATTTCATACCCATTAGGATGACTAAAATCAGAACAATCAACAGTAAGAAGGGTCAGTAAAGATGCAAATAAATTGGAAGCCTCAGATACACTGATGATGGTATTGTAAACTGGTGCAGGTATTTTGGAAAGCACTTTGGAAGTTTCCTGAAATGTTAAACATGAAGTCATATGATCTAGCCTTTCCACTTCTAGATATATATCCAAAAAAGTTGCAAACATATATTCACCAAAAGATCTATACAGAAATGTTTATAGCAGCATTATTCAAAATAACCAAAAGATGGAGAAGAAAAACCTAAATATCTACCACCTGATGGCTGAATAAAAAAAAAAATGTCTATCCATACAATAGAATACTTTTTTTAACAATAAAAAGAATGAAGTACTGATTCATGCTACAACACAGATGAACCTTAAACACATTATGTTAAATAAAAAAAGCTAGACACAAAAGACCATGCATTTTATTATTTTATTTATTTGAAATATCCAGAATAAGAAAATCTATGAAGACAGACAGTAGTGGTTTTTGGGCTGAAGAAGAGTAGAAATGGAGAGTGACTGCTAATGTCTATGAGTCTATGGGGCTTCTTTTTTGGTTGATGAAAATGTTTTGGTATGAGAGTGATGATGGTTGCACTAAACTGAAAGCCCTAAAAACTACATTTGCACTTTGAATGGTAAATTTAATTGTATGTGAGTTATATTTTAATAAAACTGTTTTCTAAGTAAAAAATGAAATAAACACTAAAAGTTATTACTGTCTTAATGGAGTCTCCAAATCATCTGTTGTTGTTGTTGTTGTTGTTGTTGTTGTTGTTGTTGTTGACAGGGCCTTTCTCTGTCACAGAGCACAGCGGCACAATCATGGCTTACTGCAGCTTTGACTTCCAGGAATCAAAGGAGCCTCCTACCTCAGCCTCCAAAGTAGCTGGGACTACAGGCATGCACCACCATACCTGGACAATATTTTTAAAAGTTTTGTAGAGACAGAATCTTACTGTGATCCCCAGGCTGGTCTCAAATTCCTGGACTCAAGTAATCCTCCTGCCTCAGCCTCCTAAAGTGGTGGAATTACAGGAGTGAGCCACTGTGCTATGCCACCAAATTATTCCTATGTTCTAACTCTTCAGCTACACCATCAAATGAATCAGAATAATACAGGATACATATAAAGGTGAAAAACACATGAGTGATGCCTCATATTGACATAATGCACATATACTTTCAATTCAAGAAAATGAGATTTACCTGCATTTCCTGAAGCATGAGATTTGTGTTAAATATTTAGGATCAATAAGTCAATACATATCTCTTTACGCCAGATTATGGGGGACTTTAAATGAAGTTGATCATGTATTAAAATTATTGAATATAGGTGATGGGTACAGGTAATGATACTATTCTGTTTTCATCACCCATTTGAAATTGTCATAATAAAAACTAAAAAGTGTATATTTTTAAACTACTGCTAGACACTGGAGAATATAAAAATAAATAAGCATGTCTTTGGTCCTTAATGAGTTGGAAATTTAATGGAGAAATACTGTACCACATACCCAAAAAGAATTATTTAAAAAGAAAAATTAATCAAAGGATTGTGGTTAAAGAGAGAGAGGTGGGTAGAGAAAGATGGCATCCTGCCAAAGTGTTATAAGGAAATGGCATTTAAGCTAAGATTTCAATAGGCAGAGCTGGGAGTGAAAAGCTGAGAGGACAAAAGGTGACAGGGTAGTTTCATGTTCAGAGCAGAGATTTGCTCTGGAGATAGCCTGAAGAATTTGTCTGAGTGGTAGGAATCACAGAGAAGAAAACCAGCTATAAGGCAATTGCAGTAAATCTATAACTGTAATACACAGAGCTGAATAAACGTGATAGCAGTTTTTAAAAAAAACAAGCCAGTTTGTTAAAATATATTAGGAAGAATGCATTCTTAAATAGCAAATGCTCTTGTTTTTCAGTAATAACAATGACAACCATCTTGTAATGTAAAGGACCACTAGAAGTCATTTAAACACATACTCATTTAAGGGATAAAACATTAATTTTTGTTCAGTGTGAGCAACTGCTTTGATAAGAACATCAGTACTTCCTCTGTTTATCTATTCCATTCTTAGACACTCTCCCTCAGAACTAAGAAAGCTCACTGAATCTTAGTTATTCTCTCAGAAATCACAGAATAAACCTTAGCCTCACCCACATTACTTTCCTTCAATATTTTAGGATGGTCTTCATGTTTGTCATACTTCATTCTAGAATAAACATCCCCAGTTGCATACAGTTTTCAAATTTAAGTTGAGTATTTATGGCTTACTAAAGGCTACTGATACATTCAATCATGTAATCATTTTAGACATGAAGCAAAGGACCTAATAAAATAAACAATAAAAAATGTCCTCTGCAGCTATAGCCACACTGTGTCCATGTGTCCTGTGAATGCCATCGTGCTTGCTCCAGTAGTGCACAGAATTCACACAAAGAGTTTTGGAAAACATGACTTCATCAATGATACCTTAGAGAAAACATACTGATGTTAAAGGATGTCTTTTTACTTACGTATAAGAAGTGAAGCAAAAGATATTTTCATTTTCAATCATATTGTTTCCTATGACAGAAATTACAAATATCATTTTCTATTTCAATTTATTAAGGGAATAATAATAAAACTATTAATACTAAAAGTAAATATGGCCCTAAGAAATTATTTAATCCAGGCTCTTAGTGCTAAAGCTAATTTCTTTTATTTTCACAGTTGAAATTATAATGGCCCAGGAAATTGGAGAGACATGATTAAGATTACATCATTAATGAGTTTGGAGGTACCAGGGATCAATTGGGTGAACATGTAGGACCATCCTGTCCCATTTACAATAATTAAATTGTAGCCGTGTTTCAATGTTTATTATTATTATTAGTACTTCAGCTCTTAGAAATCCTGTTTTAATTTTAAATGTTATGATCCTCATTCTATCACAGACCCCTTTACAGTTTTCTCCCCTCCTCTTCCATCTGTGCAGTGGGAAGCCTCTAATATAACACTGAGCTGGAAAATCAGAAGTAGGAAGAAAGAAAAAGATGTCTTCTCTCTTATCCTGCACACTCACGTTCTACTTCAAAGTGAAAAGGCAAGAATATCTTTTAATAGTTTTATTGGCTAAAAAGTATTGTAATGAATCATGTAATTGTATTGCCTCAACATATGCTAAGTATTGTTAAATTCTGCTGTATCGAGTAATCACCTGTAAATGTTAAATATACTTTGTTTGATTTCTACAGCTGCAGATAACTAATAAATTGATGTAAATTAGCAGTCTTGATTTGAAAGATGTTTACAGGAGTGTATTGGTCAGGCTTCTCCAGAGAGACAGAACCAATGGGATATATGGAGAGATAATATGAGAGGGGATTTATTAGTGGAATTTGCTGACATAATCATGTACGCTGAGAAGTCCCACAACAGGCCAACTGCAGGTTGGAGACCCTGGGATTCTTATAGTGTGGTTCAGTCTAAGTCCGAAGGCCTGAGAACCAGGGAAGTCAATAGTGTTATTCTAAGGCCAAAGGCTTGAGAACCCAGAGGGCAACTGGTATAAGTCCTGGAGTACCAAGGCCACAGAGCTTGAGGTCCTGATGTCCAAAGTCAGGAAGAGAAGAGTGTCCCAGATCCAGAAGAAAAAGAGAGAGAGAAGGAGGGAGTAACGAAATGTTTTTCTCTTTTTTCTTCTGTCTGAGCCCCTAGCCAATGGAATGGTGCCTGACCACATTGAGGGTGGATTTTCCCCCACTGAGTTCACTGACTCACACACAAATCTCTTCCGAAAACACCCTCAGAGACACAACCAGAAGTAATGCTTTACCAACTCTCTAGGTGTTACTTAGTACAGTCAAACTGACACCTAAAATAAACCAAGTCAAGGAGTGACTTGGAAAAATATTCACTGGTTATATATGTTTGTGAAAATATACAGAGTGCCTACTTCTTGGAGATTCTCAGATCATATTGTTACAGTAGCAAAGTTAAAACAGTTGACAAACAAACATTTTTCTCTAAAGCATCTTCTTCATTCTTTTTGAAAACATGTCAGTGTGTATATGTGTATGTGTGTGTGTGTTTGCATGTGTGTGCATGTAAGATGTGTTGGTTTGTTTGTATGTATTTTTGTCTGGATTTTTGTTCTATTTTCCCCACATACAAATAACACAATAAACACAGGTAAACATGCATGATTAAATAATAACTCATTGAATTTTTAAGAGTTCATAGTATTTGGCTTACCATATGCTTATGCAATTTATTATTATTCTCTCTTTTGACAGTGGCTATATAATATCTAACCTTCAGCTAAGGTACAATTATTTATCAGATACTTTTGTTTGAATTCAGACATTGTACTTGAAACCAGGAAAACTGCCTTTCAAGTAAAGCAAACGATCCATATACTTAGTTATCAAGGAAGGGCAACACCCTATTTAACAATTACTGTTAAGGAGTAATCTGCTAGTCATGTCTAATTTAAGCTTAAAGTCTTTTTACATTTTAAATATTTTTGATAAAAATATATATAAAATGTATTAAACAGTTCTTTCACTAAGGACACAGAACATAGTTTTATAATTACGTTATGATGAACTGATAATTTCTAGACATTGGTACAACACAGTAGTATCTTTAGAAATAATTGAAATATAAGTATGATTGAATTCAACAAATTTATATTGATAATGACTGTAAGTTTCTCTTAGCTGCTTTGTCTTTACACATGTTTGCTCTTTACATTTTATCAATTTATTTTTATTTAAATGCAACTAAAAATGATAAAAACAGAATATTTAAATTAATGTCGGTGTTATGTTATAGCTGTTTTACCCTAACCACAGAAGCATATAGAAATGTAACAATGTAACAGTTCTAAAACGTAGCTCATTAGATGTTTGTCTAATATTAGATTGAAAATACTTGAAATAAAGAATTAGAAGCTCTCCTATGCACAGGCTATATGCAATACTTAACAACCAATATGGTATGTGTACTGCCTGATGAACTTGAGCACCAGACACAGCACGGAAGCAGGATTCTGAAACTCTCCATCTGTATATCCTTTGAGTGCAGCATTATTAAGAGGACTGAGGCTTTTGGAGTATAGGCCAAGGGCAGCTGCAACTCTGAAAAGTATTTGAAACCATTTGGAATTCATTCAATAAATTAACAACTACTGTGTTCAAACCAGTGTGTACTGGCTGAATATTAAGCCTTTTCCTATAAACGTTAGCATGGGGAATGAGGTTAGTGACATGTATTTTAACTGCTCAAATACACACACACACACACACACACACACACACATAAACTGCATATATGTGTGTATTAAATGCACATATATTTAATTTTCTTGGCTGGTTCCAGGTGAATTTTGGATTGTACATGTGATGGATAAGAGTTCTTCAGTTATTTTTGCATTTCGAACATCATTTTTAGTATTTAATTTCAAAAAGAAATTCCTGAAAGGTACTCTCTTATTTAATAATTATAATATTGAAGAATATGATTATATCTAGGTTATCTTTGAGAGGCAAGAAAGCCTTTATAATTATCTGAACAACTGTTTAATATTAAGAATTTTCAAAATACTACCTAGGATAAGAAAAATTAGACATATATTATAATTGAAATAATTATTTAAAATTGTGCTTTGTACAGGGAGGAAATTTATAATAATTAGATAACCATGATTGCCAGTTATTCAGATGAAAATTTTCTACATGATCACTTAGGAGGAGTAAAAGGTAGATAGTTCAGACTGTTGTTATTAAATTCTTTCCTTCTATCTTAAGAAAAGCTTGACACTTTAATATCCCAAAAAGAAGGAATATTCTTTAAGAGTGCCATAGCTTCAAAAGTTGACTAGTTTCTCAGTAGATCACATTGTTCTCTTAGAGATTTTAGTGTCATACTCAACATTGTAACCAGAGTCAAGAAATAAATGGCACACACTACAAGAACTGTAAGACGTATCTTGCTTTCAAGCCTTGAAGTTAATAGAAAAACACCATCTGTGACTATTCATTAGCGTGAACATAATAAATAACTATGATAACAAACAAAAGGTTTTATTTGAATTCCCTTTATCCTATTTCTATTGTACAGTCTTGCTCACATGCATAAGGAAAAGCTGTCTTGAAAAATATCTCAACCATATTTTATGTATAACCTATTGACTTAGTTAAACTATACAGCTATGAAATTAGTAGAGCTCCAGGGATATAAATTGTCTTGATTTTTAAGAATAGAATTTTTGTTGAGGTTTTAGGTGGTAATATATCAAGGTTTGTCTTTGAAATATACGTTTATACATATAGCTCACAGACAGCTCAAATATTTCTCCTGTCTAGTACAAAATATCTAAAACTCAAATTATAAAAATTGTCTAAATAAATATTTAATTCCTATTCATATTTTTTGTCAACAAATGGGCAGTATTTTGCTGATACAAGTATAAACTTCTCATGATCAGAGGCTACTTTCTCACAAACTTGTTTCACTACATTTTATTATACAACTATTTAATGATTTTGTTTTTTCTTTTTAAAAATTTAACCTTGGAAACTAATATTTTTGGCTTTTTTTCCCCACAGTTGCCTTGAAACACATAAATCACTAATGTCTTTAAAAAACAGATCAGGAGGAATTCATGTATTTGAAATGAATGCCTATGTGAGGCCTTAATAAATCAATGTAAGTAGAAAAAATAGCTCATTTGTGTGCTTCAAATCTCTTAGACTACTTCTGTGATTGATTTAATGTTACTTATTAAAACAAATAGGTTAATACAATTAAAATGTTACAATCCATTAATGAAATTTCATAAAAAACTATAATATAATTTTTAATTACTTGAATGAATAAATTTAGTTTTTATAAATTTAGTACTAATATTTTCATTATGTTCTTAAAAACTAAAGCAAAATGTTATTTAATTATCATTGCCTAATTTTAAAAAGCATATAATTACAGAAAGAAAAACCTTTTTCCTAATATTGTAATGTAGACCATTTAAATGCATAGCTTGTCATATAAAAGACAGTTACTAATCTACTAGACAATACATTTTACCATAGTTTCACAAAGGACACAAAAATATTTAAGGAAAAATCCTTAGATTATCCTGCCAAAGAATCTGTTTGTAATAAGAAAGAACTCACTGATACTATCTCTGTGAAACCAAAGATGATACAGTTACAAAAGGTATTTTCTAAGGATCAAACCAGATAACTGCTATAGAAGTAAAACAAACAAAATTTAGAAAATATGTTTGAAATACCACATTATTACTCAAGTCTCAAATGTTTCAGATGAACTTTTGGCATATTCTAAACTTATAAATTAATCCCAACCACACAACCTTGATTTTGCCAACACAATTGAATTAACTATATCCCACTCTCTCTGCTACTCCACATCACTAGAAGATGAGTCTGACTCAAAATGAAAATGTAGAAAGCTGATGTCAGTAAGATGGTAGAATAGGAATCTCCAGATCCCCTTCCCCCCCAACAGAGATACTGATCCAACAATACACAGATTAATTTCCTTTGTGAGAAACAGTGAAAACAGTTAAAAGTCTCCTGAACCCTAGGTGAATGCAAAATCAGCTGCATCAAAGCTGGTAAAAAAAAAAAAAAAACAAAATAAACAAAAAACAAACCAAAAAAAAAACTGTGGCACTCACTCATTAGAGCCCTACCTGCTAGCTCAGTAAAGTCCAATTGAGAAGGAACTTCCAGTTTCTGTCTTCTCCCTGGAAAGGGAAATAAAAGACTGAAACACATGTCCAAAGTCAACACTTTGCAGGGGGCTGCTAGATGAACTAGTTTCTGTTTTGCCTGAATCTAAGCACTGACAAAAAAGGTTTTAGTCTGGACAGTCTCTGAGAACAAAGACAAATGTTTAGACTACATAAACTCTCTTGCCAAAGTCTTCCTCATTTCAACTCAGTGCTGAAGGGGTGAGAGAAAATCCTCAACTTGTAACTTCTTCATGGAGAGGGAAAGAGGTAGAATGTGTGTCCAACATTCTGGTTTTTTGGAGGGTAGCCCTAGGGACCGGTTTCTGTCTCATCTGCGTCAAAGTGCTGACAGGACCCAGCGTATTCTAGATGTCTGAAGGCCCTTGAGAAGCAAAGAGAACTGAGCTGCCTGCTGCTGCTGCAGAGGATTTGGAATAAGCAGATGGAGGCTGAAACAACTTGATGGGCTCTCTCTCAGTGGGTAAAGAGAAGAATGAAGTGTTTATCCAACTTTCTGACTTTTGCGGACACTGTTTGAGGGACTGTTTGTGTCTCACCTAACTCAGAGTCCTGACAGGACCCAGCATACTCTAGGGTCCTGGAAGCTGTTGAGAACAAATGAAAGCTGTGTGGCTTGTGGCAGCTACAAAGAATCTTCAGTGTCATGGGCAAACACCAGAAAGAGCAAGTGATTACAAGGTCCTAAAAAAGAAACTGGCGAACTCCTCTAATTGGGAATTTATACACAGATGTTCAAGGAAGATGCATCTACAGAAAATGTTGGAGAAACCCTCAGAATCTCTAGCTTGGCTGATTGACAAAGGTCTTACCTGTATGATGTCTATCTTCAAAGATGGGGAGAAGTGGTTGTTTTTCAAATGAATGAATTTCAACAAAAAGTTACAAGACGCATGGTAAAACAATAAAACGTGGTCCATTCCAAACTAAAACTCTAGAAACTGGTCATAAAGAAGTGAAAGTATATAGATTATCTGTGAAAAAATTTAAAATGACAGACATTAAGGTGCTCAGTGAGCTCAGGAAAATGATACATAATCAAAATGAGAATATCAGCAAAGAGATAGAAATTATAAAATGTGGCCGACTGCCACTACTACTACTTGAGACCGTCATTACAGCAGTTACTGCTGTTACTGCTTGAGACTGTCATTACAAGACTGAATGAACGGACGAACATAGAAATCATAACAGAAAACAAAAGTAACTATTTTAAGGAAAGGCTAGCATGGGGAAGAAGAGAGCTCCCTGCTTCTAGTGAGGAAAGGCAGCCCCTGAGCTTCCACAACCCTTCTTATTTATTGGGTAACAAGAGCAAGAAGGAGGAGGTAACGATTGGTCAGCTGCTTAATTGACCACAGGTTCATATTGTTACTGACAGGCTTCAATTATGCCTCATTATAAGAAACATTTGTGCGGCCTCCAACAGCTGCAAACAGTCAACAAAATTACAAAGGAAGAGAGCAAGAAAAGAAAAGGACTAAAGAGCTACAAGACAGACAGAAACAACTAAGAAAAGGCAATTGTAAGTACTCACTTATCAGTAATCAATTTAAATGTAAATGGTTGAACTCTTTGATCAAGAGAAATAGAATGGCTAAATGTATTTAAAAAATAAAAATAAGATTCAACTATGCAATCTCTACAAGAGACCCACTTTATATTTAAAGAAACACATAGGCTGAAAGGGAAAGGAATGGAAAAGGTATTCTATGTAAATGATAATAAAAAATTAGAAATGGCCAAACTTCTCTCAGACAAAATATACTTTGAATCGAAAAATGTCACAAAAGACAAAGATATCATAGAATAACAAGAGTCAAATTACTAGGAAGGTAAAACACGTATATTTACTCAACTTCAGAAAACTCACTTATATATGACAAACACCGACTTAATGGAAGGCAGAAATAAAATGTAACACAATAATACTAGGGGAGTTTCAACCCCGCTTTCAAAAACGGATAGAGAATCCAGACAGAAAATCAACAAGGAAATAGCAGATATGAAAACACTGTAGACCAATGGTACCTAACAGTCATATACGGAACATTCCCCTAACAGCAGCAGAACAGGCATCCCTCTCAAGCACACTCAAAGCATTATCCAGGATAATTCACATGTCAGACACAAAAATCTGAACAAATTTAAAAAGCTTTAATCATTCCAGTAATCTTCTCTATTCAAAATAGAATGAACCAAACAATAAATGCTTGAGGGGATGGAAACCCCATTCTCCATGATGTGCTTATTTCACATTACGTAACTGTATCAAAACATCTCAGGTACCCCATAAATATACACACTTACTAGGTACCCATGAAAATTTAATAAAAAAAACTAATTTAAAAAGAAATAAATATTGAAAGAAAAACTGAAATTTCACAAATATCTGTTAATTAAATAATACATTTGACCCAAGGAATCACAGAAGATGTCAAAAGGGAAATTAGAAAATATCTTGAAACAAATCATAACAACAAACTTAAGAATGCTGCAAAAGCAGTACTAAGTGGAAAGTTTGTAACAGTATACAGCTATGTTGAAAAAAAAAATACTTATATCGGCCGGTCACAGTGGCTCACACCTGTAATCCCAGCACTTTGGGAGGCCGAGGCTGGCAGATCATGAAGTCAAGAGTTCAAGACCAGCCTGGCCAACATAGTGAAACCTCATCTCAACTAAAAATACAAAAAAATTAGCCAGGTGTGGTGGCAGGCACCTGTAATCCTAGCTACTCGAGAGGCTGAGACAGGAGAATCGCTTGAACATGGGAGGTAGAGGTTGCAGTGAGCTGAGATTGCGCCACTGCACACCAGCCTGGAGGGTAGTGGAAGACTTCATCTCAAAACAAATAAACAAACAAAATACTTATCTTAAATAAGTAACCTAATTTTCTGTATCATGGAACTAGAAAATGAAGAACGAACTAAGCTGAAAGTTAGCAGAAGGAAGGAAATAATAAAGGTCAGAGAAGAAATAAATGAAATCAAGACTAGAAAACTTAATATAGAAAAATTAATAAAACTATGAGTAGGCTTTTTGGAGAATTTCTTTTAATTGACAAATCGTTATCTAGCTTAAGAAAAGAGAAAGAAGACTTAGATAAATAAAATTATTAGTGAAGGACAAGACATTGTAACTGACACTACAGACATAAAAAGGATTATAGAAGCTGTTATGAACAATTATATACCAACAACCTGGATAACTTAGAAATGGATACACTCCTAGGAAAATATTACCAATAATAAATCATGAAAAAAATAGAAAGTTCTAACAGACCTACAAACAACAAGGAGGTTGAATCATAGTCAAAAGGCTCCCAACAATGAAAAATCCAGGACCAGATTGCTTTATTGGAGAATTCTACCAAACATGTAAAGAACTCATACTAATCCTTCGTAAACGCTTCCAAAAAAATGAAGAAGAGGAACATTCCCAAACCCATTTTATTCAGCAGTAGTCTAATACCAAAGCCAGCCAAAGACACTATGAGAAAAGAAAACTATAGGCAAATATCCCTGATAAACATAGATGCACACGAAAAGGATCATGCACCATGATCATGTAAAATAGTTACAGAGATCTGCTGTACAATAATGTTCATCTATTACAGTACATACAGTACAGTACTGTACTGTATAGTTAAAATCGTTAAGGAGGTAGATGTTGTGTTATGTGTTTTCTAACCAAAATAATAATAATAATAATAATAATAATACAGAAAAGCAAAGAAAAAATGGAGTTGGGGAGGAATTGCTAGGCATTGTCCATTTAAATAATCAGTAACCTTACCAAAATTTTAAAGCTTGACTTCCACCACTATCAGGATGCTTTTGGAATAAGAAAAATATGCTACATGGTGATTTGGATTTTTAATTCATTAGCATTATATACAATTTCAAGAAGAAAATAATAAAGCAACATATTAGGTTGTTTTACTTTGAGGAATTACCCAATTTTTAATAAAATACTGTGGTTAAAATCTGATTTGTTTGAGTATGGCTTTATATATTTCTTCAGTGAGCTGCAAAAGGGAACAGATTTTTGTACTTTTTCCAGTAATGTATCTTTAAAACAACCAGAATGTACATATTTACAAAACACAAAACAACTTTTATAGCTGACAGTTTAGCTATAAAATAACTCAACAAATTAGTAAAAAAATGAATCAACTTATAGATGCTATTTTATCTATGGTGAGTCTGTAATGTATAGTAGAAAGAACAAGGGCTTTGTTGCAAGACAGACCTAGGGACATTCTGATTAAATGTGATCAATTGCAAATTAAGCTTTCCTGAGTTTCAATGTAGAAGGTAACTTTTAGATTGTCTTTAAACTCATTACTACCACTGTCTGAAAAGTACCACTATACACAGGGAAAATCGAAACAGCTATGTGTGTACTGCCTGAATCCGGCTTCTTGACCACCATTGTTTGAGATAAAGGTACCTTGGATATTTAGGATTGTAATTCATAGAGTTTGAGTACATAAAGAACGTCTGTTTGGAACCGATGTTTTACCATAGATCAGCATAACAGATAAAGTTAGCCAGACACACACAAACAGGTCAAGGGAGGACCCTGAGGATCCTGATAGTTTTCCAGATCTCTCCTGAGATCTCGATGGACTCTTGTTTTATTTCTGCATAATAAACTTTCTAATTTTCTGCCTCTAACAGATCTTACCCTTCAATTTCCCAAAACATAAAGAAATAAAAATGTTGCCTTACTACCTTGCAGGGTCAGGCAATCTTCAGTGCAGTTAGCAGGGGCTCAATAAATGTTAGCTATCATTTTTTTACTTAGGAAGCTAATCAGGTAAAATCAGAACTTGGCTCAAAGCATTTAACACCAGAAGGAACCTTAGAGCTATGAATCTGAGAAGGCTGGAGATAATCTCTTATGCATTATGTATTTCTATAAATAATCACATTTTCTTCGAAAAATATTCTATAATTCTAATCTTACCCTCATTCAAAGACAATTTCTGTTAAAGGAAATACAGTTGCCCCTCTATATCCATTGGTATGAATCTGTGAATTCAATCAATTGGAGATAAAAAAAATTTGGCAAAATAAATAAATGAAAAATAAAAATACAATAAAATAATACAAATAAAATACAGTATGATAACTATTTACATAGCATTTTCATTATATTATGTATTATAAGTAATCTAGATATTAAAGTATATAGAATAATGAGTGTGGGTTACATGCAAATGATATGCTATTTTACATAAGAAATTGAGCAGTCATGGATTTTGATATCTATCTGGTTCCTAGAACCAATCCCCCACAGATACCAAGGGACAATTGCATACATTATTTGTTAAAGGATTTTCATCTTTAACTGCTTAATTTTCATCAATATTAGATAGTAAAGGATCACATGTCACTGGAAATTAGGTTTTAACCCTTAAAAGAACAAGAATGTGGACTGCGACTTAATTGTGCAATACAATTGACCTTCGTTCATTGTATCATCCAGGCATTGGTACTTGCAACGTAATTCTTATGAAACCTATTTTTCAAAGTGTTAATAGCAGTAATCTCTTTAATGATTCAGTTATGGGTGATTTTATTTTCTTCCTTATCTTTATACTTTGTAACTTATCTTCAAATATAAATGATTATATATTATTTTTGCAATAAAAACATACAATAAAATGAAATGGATAGCTGGGAAGCTGGTAGGTACTCTGGTGTAATTAATATTAGAAAGAACTGCTCAATATTAATAATACTAAGATCAAAATATTTGTTCATGGCAAACATTTTTCATGCTCAATACATAATACTAAATAATCCTAAACAAGAACCCTATTTATTCAATTTTTATGTAAATGAATCAGATGTACCAATTGTCATTTCTTCCATTTATTCTCCAAATATTTATTGCATCCTTGCTGCATACAAAGTATCGATCTAGACTCTCTTTTATTAGTTTCTGCTTTATTTTTCATAGTTTTTAAAATTCGCTATGCTCTAATAATCTTTTCTATGTTTTTAACAGTGTCATGATACACAAGAGTGTGAGTATCCATCCATCCGAGTAAAACAAAAATTAAAAATCACAGTAAAATACAAACTCTTGCATGTTATTGATCTATTTTTGTAATTAGAGCATATCAAAGCTAACATATATAATAATATTATTCTCAATAGTGTGTTGATGAAAATCATGAATTTCAGAGTGAGAAGCATGAGTCTGAGTCTCAGCTGTGTCAGTAACTAGTTATGTGATCTTGGACGTGTTACTTACCTTTCTGTATGCCTCAGCTTTATCATACCTTAAAAAAGGCATAGGATTGTTAAGAGGATTAAAATAAATGAGAATGTAGCTCAGTAAGTGTAAAATAACGAATAGGATATGTAATATATACTAAGCACCATATAATAGAAACTATTTTATTATTTTCACCCACTATGGGACTGAGTATTGCCTGAAATGTTAGCAATCTTGGTCATATAAATCATTTGGAAAATGACAAGAATTGTTATTTTCAGACATAGAAATCTAACTTAACTACTTGTGTAAATCTAAATCTATTGCAAATAATTCTAACTCACTTCTCTGTGCATGTGTCATATATAGAATCTCCAAACCTCATGGATGTTAATTTTCAGCTTTATCCTCTGAATAGATGATAACTCATAAGGATACATTTCGAACTGATGAATGAAGCCAGGCTTGACAGGAGATATCATTATTTTTACAATGAAATTAATTACGTATATGAAAGCATGGTAAAAGCCACTGTTTTTTTTTTTTTTTTTTTCAAAACAAATTGGCTGGCACAGTACCACTGATAAATACTATGTATGGACAGAGGAACATGAACCTGCAAAACACGTTGCCTTTCATTCCTTATCATAAAATAAAACTATTTGGAAAATAGGAAAGAACAGTTTTATTCTTACAGAAATTTTGAGACAGCTTCAAGGAAACTATTGTTAAGCTTTGTCCTTTATTTAGCTATCCATGAGCAACACAATTCAGTATGTTCGTAACAGAAATCATTCTGCTATCCCAAATCCCACCCTCACCATGTGTAATCAACCACTTACCCAAGATAGAACTTTGGAAGTAATCCTTGATTCATCTTTCTTAAGCAACATTCCACCTGAATTTAGTCAATTACTCACAAATCCAAAAGGTTTACATTTCTCATGTTCATCCCTTCCATAACCTTTACTTAACCCATATCTCTCCAAGTTTAGACAAAGTCTTTTCCTCCTAATTTACTCTAAAAACCCTCCAGTTGATCTCCTTGACTCTAGTTTTGTCTTTTTCAAATCAATCCTTTATGCGTTTGCCACAAAGATTTATTTAAAATGTGCTTCTTTTATGTGAAACATTTCAACTATTTTCTGCTGCCTACAATACCCTGACCAATTTCATCAATGAAGAAAATAAACCTTTCACCATTTGTCACAGGCTTTTTAAATCTCCTCAAACAGAAAACTCACTTATAGCCAATGTTGCCTTTCCTGAACCTGCTTTTCCTATGCCTTCAACCAACTACTCCTTCAACATCCAGCTTTATCCCCCAGCTCCCAACTTAATGGGGTACCAATTCTATCTCGTCCAAATATACCTGTGGAAAATCACTATTGCTGCACTAATTAAACTGCATTATGATTATCTGTCTCTCTGTAAACCTAGGTGGTTAACTCTTGTAAAGGGAGTAATATAGGATTAGAGTAAGAACTTTGAGATTAAACAAGCCTTTGTCAAATTTTGGTCAGCAATTTACCACTACGTAATGTTAGGCATATATTTAATCTCTCTGTACATCAAATTCTATATTCAAAAAAATGAGTTCTTAAGAGATACAAGTGAATGTAATATCTGTCATTAATTTTGAAATCTTTCAATATGTACATGATATTTAAATTTGATCAGAAATCCACACCCACCACAGAATGGTAAATTAATATTTGAAATATTCTAGTCAAATGTTCACATCAGACCTGCAGCTACTCCAATGTTTTCAACCACCTTTGTCTGTGCTAAATATAAAAAGATTCATTATTTACCATTATAAATTATTTAAATGTTATTGAAATAATTTCTTTGCTTGTTTAATAAGATGTTCAGTATCTATATGCTAGAAAGATGTTCATTGCCTATACTTTAGTTTATTAGTCTGTTTTCATGCTGCTGATAAAGATATATCCAAGACTGGGCAATTTACAAAAAAAAAAAAAAAAAAAAAAAGAGGTTTAATGGACTTTCATTTCTATGTGGCTGAGGAGAGCTCACAATCATAGCAGAAGGCCAGGAGGAGCAAGTCACATTTTACATGGATGACAGCAGGTAAAGAGAGGACTTATGCAGGGAAACTCCCATGTTTAAAAGCATCAGATCTCATGAGACTCATTCACTATCATGAGAACAGCATGGAAAAGACCCACCCCGTGATTCAATCATCTCCCACTAAGTCCCTACCAAAACATGTGGGAATTATGGGAGCTAAAAGATGAGATTTGGGTAGGGACACAGAGCCAAATCATATCATTTAGCCCCTGGCCCCTCCCAAATCTCATGTCTTCACATTTGAAAACCAATCATGCCTTCCCAATGGTCCCCCTAAGTCTCAAATCAATTCAGCATTAACTCAACAGTCCACAGTCCAAAGTCTCATCTGACACAAGGCAAGTCATTTCTGCCTATGAGCCTGTAAAATAAAAAGCAAGTTAGCTCCTTGCTAGATACAGTGGGACTACAGACATTGGGTAAATTCAACCATTCCAAATTATAGAAATTGACCAAAACAAAGGGACTACAGGGCCCCTGAAAGTCCAGCAGGGCAGTCAAACTTTACAGCTCCAAAATGCTTTGACTCCATGCAAAGGAGACAAATCCTTTGACTCCATGTCTCACATCTGGGTCATGCTGATGTAAAAGGTGGGTTCCCACGGTCTTGGGAAGCCCTACCCTTATGGTTTTGCAGAGTATAGTCTCCCTTTCAGCTGCCTTCATGGACTGGTGTTGAGTGTCTGTAGCATTTCTGTGTGCATGGTGCAAGCTATCAGTGGATCTACCATTCTGGGGTCTGGAGTACAGTGCCCCTCTTCTCACAGTTCCACTAGGCAGTGTCCCAGTAGGGACTCTGTGTGGGGGCTCCCACTCCACATTTCACTTCTGCACTGCCCTAGCAGAGGTTCTTCAAGAGGACCCTACCCCTACAGCAAACTTCTGCCTGAGCATCCAGGCATTTTCATACATTTTCTGAAATCTAGGCAGAGGTTCCCAAACCTTAATTCTTGACTTCTGTGCACTTATAGGGTCAACACCACATGGAGGCTGCCAAGGTTTGAGGCTTGCACTCTCTGCGGCCACAGCCCAAGCTCTATGTTGGCACCTTTCAGCCAGGGTTAGAGTGGCTGGGATGCACGGCACCAAATCCCTAGGCTGCATACAGCATGGGGACCCTGGGCCTAGCCCAGGAAACCACTTTTTCCTCCTAGGCCTCCAGGCCTGTGATGGGAGGGGCTGTCATGAGGACCTCTGACATGCCCTGGCCACATTTTCCCCATTGTCTTGGGGATTAACATCTGACTCCTCCTTACTTATTCAAATTTCTGCAGCCTGATTGAATTTCTCCTCAGAAAATGGGATTTTATTTTCTATCACATTGTCAGGCTGCAAATTTTTTGAACTTTTGTGCTCTGTTTTCCTTTTAAAACTTAATGCCTTTAACAGCACCTGAGTCACCTCTTGAATGCTTTGCTGCTTACAAACTTCTTCTGCCAGATACCCTAAATCATCTCTCTCAAGTTCAAAGTTCCACAAATCTCTAGGGCAGGGACAAATGCCACCAGTCTCTTTGCTAAAACATAACAAGTCACCTTTGCTCCAGTTCCCAGCAAGTTCTTCATCTCCATCTGATACCACCTCAGCCTAGATTTCATTGTCCATACCATTATTGGCATTTTGGTCAAAGCCATTCAACAAATCTCTAGGGAGTTCCAAACTGTCCCATATTTTCCTGTCTTCTTCTGAGTCCTCCAAACTGTTCCAACATCTGCCTGTTACCCAGTTCCAAAGTTGCCTCTACATTTTTGGGTATCTTTTCAGCAAGGTCCTACTCTACTGGTACTAATTTACTGTATCAGTCCATTTTCACACTGCTGATAAAGATATTCCCAAGACTGGGCAATTTACAAAGAAAGAGGTTTAATGGATTTACATTTCAATGTGGCTGGGGAAGCCTTGCAATCATGGCAGAAGGCAAGGAGGAGCAAGTCATATCTTATATGGATGTCAGCAGGCAAAGAGAGGACTTGTGCAGAGAAACTCCCGCTTTTAAAACCATCTGATCTCATGAGATCTGTTCACTACCACGTGAACGGATCTCATGAGATCCATTCACTATCACATGAACAGCATGGGAAAGACCCACCCCCTGTGATTCAATCATCTCCCACCGAGTACCTCCCACAACATGTGGGAATTATGGGAGCTACAAGATAAGATTTGGGTGGGGACAGAGAGCCAAACTATATCAGTTAGCAAGAATTTTTTTTAAGGAATTCTACTTTGTATGTATCAGACAAAAGAACCCAGTGAAACCAGTAACTTATACACTTTAGAAATGCATCCCAAACTTAGGAGTCCAATCATACCTATAATCAAACCTGACAGGAGAGCTTGTTGATATTTCTGCTAGAATATTGTTTCATGTACCAGGAGAAGCATTTTGTGCACAGTGCTGATGAGAGCACATCAAGGACAGAAAACTAGTTCTTCCTAGAGCTTAGAGAACATGAGGAAGATTATCACTGAGCTTGCTTGCCAAAAAGATTTTATGTGGACAAACTCTTGTCTGAGACTTGCATTCAATTGAAACATGCTTAGTAGCAATGTCATGGATAAAGATATATTAAACCTTGCCCATCACTAAGGCTACTGATCTCTACCAAAGAAATTATATCATAGTGAGTGAAAATATTTCTTAAATAAATGTACATAAATGAAATAACTTTGATTATTCAAAACTATAGACCTTAGTATGTGCAGGCATATCTTGGAGATACGGATTTGATTCCAGACCATCACAATACAAGGAATATCCCAACAAGGTGAGTTAAAAGAATCTTTTGGTTTCTCACTGCATATAAGAGTTATGTTAGCCAGGTGCAGTGGGTCATACCTGTAATCCCAGCAACTTAGGAGGCGGAAGCAGGAGAATTGCTTGAGCCCAGGGGTTTCAGACCAGCCTGGGCAACATGGGAAAATCCCATCTCTACAAAAAATACAAAAAAAATTAGCTGGGTGTTGTGGCTCATGCCTATATTCCCAGCTACTTGGGAGGCTGAGGTGGAAGGATTGCTTGAGCCCACAAGTCAAGGCTGCAGTGAATCATAATCAAGGCACTATACTCCAGCCTAGACAACAGAGCAAGATCTTGTCTCAAAAAAAAAAGAGTTATGTTTAAAGTATACTATAGTCTATTAAGTGTGCAATAGAATTATGTCTAAAAATGCATTACATACCTTAATTTAAAAATACTTTATTGCTAAAAAATGCTAATAATCAACTGAGCCTTCAGCAAGTCCTAATCTTTTTGCTGATGGAAGGTCTTACATCTATGTTGATGACTGCTGACTATTCAGGGTGATGTTGCTGAAAGTTGAAGTGGCTGTGGACATTTCTTAAACTAAGACAATTCAGTTTTCCAAATTGACTCTTCCTTTCACAAAAGATCTCTCTGTAGCATGTGATGTGCTTCTTGACAGCATTTTATTCACAGTATAACTTCCTTCAAAATTAGAGTCAATCTTCTCAAGCTGTGCCACAGTTATAAACTAAGTTTATGTATCAACTAAATACTTTGTTATCATTTTGAGTATGTTTACAGCATCTTCACCAGAAGCAGGTTTCATCTCTGAAGCCATTTCCTTTGCTCATCCATAGGAAGAAACTTGTCATTGGTTCAAATGTTACCGTGATATTGCAGCAATTCAGTTACATCTTCAGGCTCCAATTCTAATTCTTCCTATCTTGCTCTTTCTACCACTTCTGTAGCTCCTTCTTCCGTTGAAGACTTGAAGCACTTAAAGTCATCCAGGAGGGTTAGAATCTACTTCTTACAAACTCCTATTCATGTTGCTATTTGACCTCCTATAACTCAGAAATTTTCTTAATGGCATCTAGAATGGTGAAACCCTTCCAAAGGTTTTCAATTTACTTTACTCCTATCTATCAGAGGAATCACTATCTACGGCAGCTACATCTGTACAAAATGTATTTCTTAAATATAAAACCCGCCTCGGCCTCCCAAAATGCTGGGATTTGTGTGAGCCACCACGCCCAGCCTATCATTTCCAGTTTTTAATTTAACCTAAGAGACAAGAAACTCTTTCATTTGAACATTTAGAGTCCATTGTAAGGCAATGAATTAGTGTAATTTCAATATTGTATGTCTTAAGGAACAGGAATGTTTGAGGAGGAGAGAGATAGAAGAATGGCTAGTTAGTATTGCAGTCAGGACACATACAGTATTTACCCATTAAGTTTGGTGTTTTTTGTGGGTACAGTTATGGTGCCCCAACCAATTACCATAATAACAGCAAAGATTCCTGATCAAAAGTAATCACCATTAGTGATAAGACAATAATAAAAGAGTTTGAAATATTGTGAGAATTATCAAAATGTGACACAGAAACACAAAGTAAATGCCTGCTGTTGGAAAAACAATACCAGTATATTTGCCCACTTGCCATCCACCTTTAATTTGTAAAATCTGCAATATGCAGTATCTATAAAGTACAGTAAAGTGAAATGCAATAAAACAAAATATGCCTGCAGTATTTACAATTTTTAAATATATAACTATGTGTTTACTTTATCTTTATATCCCTGTTGCCTACAGTTTTTCAGCCTTGGTACTACTTACATTTTGGGCCAGATAATTCTTTGTTTGGAGGCTGTACAGTGCATTGTAACATGTTTAACAATATCCATGACTTCTACTCAATTAGTATCAGTAGCGCTTCCTAGTTATGACAACCCAAAATGTCTCTAAAGACAACCATATATTCATTAGAGGGACAAAATCACCTTGAGGTGAGATCTATTGCTTGCACATAACACAGTGCCTGGTATATTCTACAGGTTCAATTTTTTAAAATTAGAAGTTTTATATTTCAATGATTGTTTAGTTCACATGAAGCTAAATTCTTTCAATCCTCAAGGATCCAGAATCCAAAAGTAAAAATTCATTAGAAACTTTTTACTTTTTATGCAACTTTTATCATGACAACAAAATTTTATTGTCAAAATTTTTTTATTATGATCATTCTAGATTAATAATTAGTAAACTCCAGAGGTAGGTGAGTGTATTTTTCAGAAGGAAATGGAGACAAGGCACAAATTTTCTTATTTTCTCTTCCTCTGTATGAATAAAAATTATTTCTGAACTTTTAACTCAAGGAGACTGAAAGAATTGCTAAAAATGCTTATTAAATGGGATAAGAAAAGATTTTTATGTAAGAATTGTATCCTGTAATTGATAGTGTCTTTTTTTTACTAAAACAATATGTAAAATAATTACTTACACTTGAAATCATCTAATTTTACTTTTCTGTTGAAAAAGCCCACGCTCGTTCACTCACCAATTTACATATGCCAGGTTGGTAAAATCAGGTACACAGTAAATCCTCATCACACCTCCAAGGTAAGAGATTAATATGTAACTCTTGTGCCATATATAGTCAAAAGAAAAAGAAATGCATAAATAATATCTTTTGTGGGCTTAGAATTTAAAGCCTAACTTAAAAGCGGTTACTCTATTTATTACATATTTTGATGTTGAATCTATGACTACTCTTATGAAAAGAGTGTGGTAACATGATACTACGTTACTCCTGAGATCAGGTCATTTCTAATTAGAGTTTAGAAACTTTTGGAACCTCATAAGATTAATTTCAAGTAATATCAACATAAAGATACTCATCACACTATATTTCACACATTGATAATGCAATCTTTAATTCTTGGAATTTTTATAT